>NW_025791762.1:333720-500581 GCF_000001405.40 Homo sapiens
AGAGGTCGCTGTGGGCGACACCTTAGGAGGGGAAAGTGGGGGAGACGGCAGTGGTGGGAAGCCGCAAGGGCCACCCACCGTTTGAACTCCTCCAGGGGGCTGGTGGCGTGGGAGTGGGCGGAGGGTGAGGCCTGCTCTGGCTTCAGGCTGTTGGCAAAGGCGTGCAGGTGCTTCAGCAGCAGGCGCACCACCAACACATGCTCCTCAGTAGGCGTGAACGACTCCTGGGTGGAGAAGGAGGGGTGAGGGCCTGGGAAGGAGCGTGGCACCCATAGCACTCCGCCTCCAGGTCTGACCACATCCCGCCCTGAGCCAGTTGCTCTGCTGCCCCCACGGGAGGCATGAGCCAGGCCAGGAGTGGGGCCACCCCATGGGGCACCACTGTGCCTGGCACCCAGATGTGCCTTGCACTGCTTGGTCTGAACTGTGACCAGCTTGTGGTATGGAAGTGCTTGGCCCAGCGCCCACACAGCCCTGGGGAGGCCTCACTAAGACAGACACATCTGCAGAGGGCCTCCCAGCCCTGCTTCTGCACGGCTGCAAATCCGCAGCGGGTGGCACAGGCTGTGCCCTTGGGCGCTGGTGCCTGTCTTGATCCCCAGGGCAGGAGAAAGCCAGCATCACCCACAAGCTCTGGATCCAGGGTCTCCCACCTGCCTCCCAAGTGTGTGCAGAAAGCACATGGAACCCAGGTGTGGTGCCTCAGACCTGTAATTCCAGCACTTTGGGAGGCCAAGGTGGAAAGATCGCTAAGAAGAAGTTCGAGATTAGCCTAGACAACATAGGGACACCCTGTCTCTACAAAAAATTTTTAAAAGTTAGCTGGGTGTGGTGGTGCACACCTATAGTCCTAATGACTCAGGAGGCTAGGGTGGGAGGATCACTTCAGCCCAGGAGTTTGAGGCTGCAGTGAGCTAGGATCGTGCCACTGCACTCCAGCGTGGGTGAGAGTAAGACCTGGTTCAAAAATAAGAACCCCATGGCTTCACTTTCCTCCCCAATTCCTCCCACCTGCTCCTCATCCTGGACACAGCCAGATGAGAACTCGGCCCAGTAGAAGCCCCGGGCGTCACTTCCTCTGTTGCCCAGGGACCTGTGGTCAGGAAAACCCCAAGACAAAAGCACAGTCAAGCATATTAGGCCAAACTTTTTTTTTTTTTCTTGAGACAACGTCTCCCTCTGTCGCCCAGGCTGGAGCACAGTGGCGCAATCTCGGCTCACTGCAACCTCCGCCTCCAGGTTCAAGCAATTCTCCTGACTCAGCCTCCTGAGTAGCTGGGACGACAAGTGTGTGCCACCATGCCCAGCTAATTTTTATTTTTCATAGAGATGGGGTTTCACCATGTTGGCCTGACCTCAGGTCTCCCAAAGAGAGGGAATACAGGCGTGAGCCACTGTGTCCAGCCTAGGCCAAACTTTTGATTTGTAACATACAAGCAGGATCCTGGAGATCTAGCCGGAGAGGAAAGCCTTTTTGGTGGCCATGGGCTTCCTCTGGTTGTTTAGCATTGGGAGGGCAGGTGGGCGCATCGAGAGTAGACGAGGGCAGGGAAGTAGGGGTGCTGAGGGCAGGACCCTGAGTCTGAGTGGACATGCTCGCCTCTCCACACTTGTCCCCTAGCCCTTTGGGCCGTAACACATCTGTGCTGCTGAGGCTGGTGCAGGGCCCAGCCTCCAGGTATATCCTGGTATGCTGTAGACCCCGCACGGGCCACTGCCCATATCGCTACCCACTCAAGTCTCCCCGTCAGGAAACTGTCCCCACAGGTCCAAGTGACACACCCCAGAGATAAGTGGCTGAGTCTGAAGATGGAGCTATGGGGTGGGAGGCATTTTCTTTTTTTTGAGACAGGGTCTCACTCTGTCACCCGCGCTGTAGTGTCGTGGTCTCGGCTCACTGCAGCCTCTGCCTCCAGGGCTTAAGGGATCCTCCCATCTCAGCCTCCCGGGTAGCTGGGAACACAGGCGCACACACCACCACACCAGGCTAATTTTTGTATTTGTAGAGACAGGGGTTTCGCCATGTTGCCCAGGCTGGTCTCAAACTCCTGAGCTCAGGCAATCCGCCTGCCTCAACCTCCCAAAGTGCTGGGATTACAAGCATGAGCCATCGTGGCTGGCTATTTTTCTCTATCTGTATTGTTAAGTCTTTGGGCAATGAATTTGCATTGTTTTGGAAGAAAGGGCCAGGTGCGGTGGCTCACGCCTATAATCCCAACACTTTGGGAGGCCAAGGCAGGCAGATCACTTGAGGTCAGGAGTTTGAGACCAGCCTGGCCAATATGGTGAAACTACATCTCTACTAAAAATACAAAAATTAGCCGGGTGGGTGGCACATGCCTGTAATCCCAGCTACTCAAGAGGCTGAGGCAGAAGAATCACTTCAATCTGGGAGGTGGAGATTGCAGTGAGCCGAGACCATGTCAATGCATTCCAGCCTGGGCAACGGAGTGAGACTCCATCTCAAAAAAAAAAAAAAAAAGACAGAAGGAGAAAAGTATGAGACATAATACCTGTACCTATACTGCCCAACTAGAAGGGCACCAGTGGGGTGGGAAGTTAGACCAGGGTCTTTCTCCTCCTCCAGTCTCAGCCCAGGCCCTCCCTCCAATCCTGGCCTGGGATCCTGAGCCGTAACATCCTTCCTGCAGCTAAGGGGAGGGGAAGACCTCCACATGTGAACTGGAAAACTGCTTTCCCCTGCTGGTGCACTTGACCCACCTCACCTGGTCCTTCCGAAGGGTCTGGAGGGCCCACTGTCCGCCCCTGCCGCCGGCAGTCACATGGAACCCTCTCAGGCTATTTTCCCATAGGTTTGCTGAGCCAAACTTCTCCCTCAGCTCTGCACCCCTCCTGGGCCATGTTCCCACATGGAGTCCCTGGCCACAGTCACCTGCTTGCTTCTTAAGGATGTGTCCCCAAAGCCGCACATTTCCCACTGGGCTGAGACTCACAGCACCTCAGCTCACCCCACCTGGGTCTCGCTGGTCACCCTCCCACCATGGGGTTTGCCAGATGCTTTCTGGACCACTGTCCTCCCTCCCTGGCGCAAGCCCTCAGGTCCCTCCTCTCCTCTGCAGTGGCTCCTGCGGAATGAGGTGCCCCTGTGTGCTGTGGCCACCATCCCAGCCCACCAGCGCTAAGGAGCCAACACATTTTCTCATCTTATGCTCAAATTCCTGTTCAATCATGTGTGCTCTTTCCCAGGTGAATGGGACAGATCACTGGCTGTGAGCACAGCCCGTCTCCCCCGGCTCTCACAGATTCCTCTGTCATCCCTGAAGTCCCCTACAGGTCTGAACTCTGCTTCACTGACCTCAAATCCATCCACACACTTGTCATTTCTGCCTAGGCAGCTGCAACCTCTATGAGGTCACCACCCACTCTAATCTGCCTCTGGAGGTGTGTATGAGCGGCCAGGGCTCCCCAGGTGAAGGCCGGGTCCTGGCTGGGCTGTCAAGGACTGACAGCTTCTGTGGGCTATAGGGTCAAGCCCCAGGTCCTTCCCACCCCCTGCCTCACACGCAAGCTCTGGGTCACAGCACCTCCAGGCTGGGTGACAGTTCTGAACAAGGCAGAACCCACACCACCCGTAAGTCCCAGGCCTCTGCGTCTTCAGCTCCTTCCTAAGCGCCAGACCCTGCAGAGTGCAGTGAACCCAGCCACTGCTGAGGCCTGAGGACTCCAGCTCTTCAAACCAGGGCCAAGCACGAGGCCTCCAACACTGGAGAGCTTGTGACACCTCCACTGGCCTGGAGCCTGGACAGCCAGGGCCACATGCCCACATGCCTCGTTCTGCCACAAAGCCACCACCCCCACCCCCAACCAAACTAGTCTACAAAGCCAGGGGCCAAGCCAGGCTGGAGGCTGACCCCTGCCTCCCCCCGACACAGGGGCTTCGTTCTGCTTGGAACTAGCCTCTGAGTCACCAGCGGCCGGCCCCGGCGGCCCCTTGCTTTGCCAGGCATGGACATGCACTCTGGGCAGGAGGAAGGGAACGAATGAGCCAGTACTTGGTAGGCGTGGAGGGCCTGGAGGCTGGGTTGGGCGGGGCTGTAGAGGGCGCTGGAGACACTGAGTCGGTAGTGCAGAACCTCCAGCTGAGATAAGAAACAGAGAGATGCCGGAAGAGGCCGAAGAGCAGAGGACAAGAGAATGGGGTGGGGAAGGGGAGAGATAGGACCAGACACGGGAGGGGGAAGCGGAGAGAGAAAGAAAGCAATGAGAACGAGCCCAGGAGTGAGGAGAAAAAAACAAAAACAAAGCACGGTCAGTGACAATCCAAACAATTGCAGTCCCAGCAGCCGCGGGCCAGCGCAGCACCCCCCTCCACAACCAGGCCAGGGCTGTGGCCACACTCTCCTCGCTTTGAAGGCCCGGGCAGAGGGGCCTCCAGGTCACCTGGGTGGCCCCTCAGTATTGCTGGGGCCTAAAGGCCTCTCTAGCTCCTTGGAAGGGCCCAACTCACTGCCCTTCAAGACGGGACCCACTCTCCCCAGTGACTGAGGTCACACTATGTGTGGCAAATGCAAACCAGAGCCCTCCAAGAGCCCAGGGCCCTCACTGGGACATGCTGCCAGCCACCAAGACCTCAAGATCCTGAGGCTCAGAAAAGAAACCAGCGGAGCATGTTCCAGGAGGAGCACTCTGCCCAGAAAACACATGTGGAATTGACTGGATTTCCCTGGGTTGTCTTAAGAAATTTACCAAATTGGTATAAGACATGATTGATTCCTATGTGTCTAAAACTCAAATCAATGTCCCCTCCATGACTGGCTCTCTGAGAACTGAGGGCGAGGACAGGTCCCCAAGGGTAGCACAGAGACGAGGAGCACAGGCTCAGGCCACCAGGCCCTGCCCTCCACCCTCATAGTCTGGACGTCAGCTAAGGTGGTGTGCACATCAGCTCTGACTCCTGGAGGCAGCCTCTCCTACCGCACCAGAAACTCCCACCCTCCAGATACAGTGGGTTCCCAAGGGCGGGAGCCCCTGAGGATCTGGCCACAGCCACACACACCCAGAGGCAGCAGGAACCTGAGGCTGAGCTGGCTCCTAGCCAGGACCCTCCGACCTGCTGCCCTGCAGCACCACGGCCTGCCGAAGCACCCCTTCAGCCCAGTGCAGCCACAGCCGGCCTGGTGCACATCCTGCCCCGCCAGCAGCATGCCTCCTGCCCAAGCAGCACACCCACTGGGCTCCACACAGGAGAAATCAGAACACACGCCAGTCGCCATGACACGCAGAGCAGGGAGTGAAGGAGCAGGGCAGGGAGGTGTTGCCCTCCACAGCCTTCCTCTGTGCCAGACCTGGGGCTCAGGGAGGAATCAGACACATAGTTCCCCAGTGTGGCTCTGCCCTTGCTTGCAGGAACACAGTGGCCTACAGCGCCATGGCCATCCTTACTGCCCACAGGGCCACTGGGGAGCAAGCATGCATCCTGGACTCAAGCAGGGTGAGGAGGATGACCCCAGGAGCCTCACTTCCTGCATCTGAAAATAAGGGCTAGTGGGGACGGGCAGGGATTTCTGCATGGCAGTACGTGTAGCACAGGCCTGGACAAGCGGCAAGAAGCCTTGGGAGACACAGACCTCCACAGCTGCCTTTCTCTGACTCCCACCCACCAAGTTTTCTTGCGTTTTGTGTTTTGCCTGAACTGGAAGAGGCGAAGAGTGGAGCATCTCTGGGTACTTGGTCCGGCCACTGCAAGGTATTCTGAGCAGGGTCCACCCACCCCAAGGTCTGGCCAAGAGGAAGCAAATGTGGGGAAGAAGGGAACTGCACCTCCTGCCCTCCACAGGGACAGCCCCCTGCCCTTCCTCTGGCCCGTGAGGACACAGAATCCTCACAGGTGACAGCCTCAAAGAGCCTTTCTGGCTGACTCTTGAAAGTAGGTGTGCTTCCACTCCCTCAGAAGGCAGAAGGAGCAACAGGAACACAATGCGGTGCAGTGGCCTCTGCCCCTGCCAGGCCACGCCACGCCACGCCACATGCACGAGTGCTGAGTGTCCCAGAGCCCCACGGGAGGAGCAGGCTCAGGGAATAACCAGGCCCCCAGGCACCGGCCAGGAACATGCAGCAAGTCTGCTCTGGAAGCAGGAAGGGCACTGCAGGCTCTTTGTGACTCAAGAGGCCCAAGATGGGGTCCTCAGCTTTTCCCCATTCTCCGCCCATGTGATTCTGAGGGTGAGGATTTGGGGGACCCTATGCTCTGAGAGAGCCTCCACATGGCAAAGCATGGGGCCATGGAACTGGCTGCAGACTGTGGCAGAAGCAGACCCACAGCTCTTTGCCAGAACCAGAGGAAAAGTGACAGGATGCTCTTCTGAAGTTTAACTCCATCACCCACATTCTGGAGGAAGCCCTCAATAATTCTGTCAGTGACAAAGCCAAAGTTTCCCAAGCATACTGATGCACAGACGCCATGGGCACCAGACTACGTGGCTGATGCCACTTCAGGCAAGGGCACGGATGGGCATGAGTCAAGCTGCTCCATGGAGATGACTGACTGGAGATCTAAGGTTCACCTAGCTGCTTTCTCACTCTGACCGGTCCAGGGGTGGTGCTAGCTCCAGGAACGGCAACAGCAGGAATGACCCAGGGCCTCCGCCACCTCCATGCATCTGAAAGCAGCGTGCTGCCCAGAGAGAGAGAGCAGGGACAGGCGAGGCGGAGGGAGAGGAGGCAAGCCAGGCTGCATGCAGGGGGGCACCAGGTGCCACTCGCCACGAGAAGGGCTGCTTGCTCATGCTCTGGAGAAGGTGGGGGAGTAGGGTGAGCAGGCAAAGGAGGCTCCAGGCCACCCCTTCATGGGAAAGCACAAAGGCACTGCTGATGGTCGAGGAGACAGACAAGAAAGTGACTCCCTGAGGCATCGCAGCTCCCCCACTCCCAGAGCAAGAGCACCACAACCTCATCTGTTCCTGCTGCCAGGGAGGGGGCTCAGGAAGCTGCACAGGGAGGGCCCCGGAGAGGCCAGACTTCCAGGCCTCAAGTTTCTACACATCAGGGTGCAATGCCCCCTGCCCGCCACCGGAAACTAGAGAACGATGCCCACTTCTTATTTGGCTTCTGAGTGACAGGTGGGTGGTGGGTTTCTGCTTCCCACCATCCAGCCTGTGAAAACTCACTCAGAGGCAGGATAAGAAGCAGCAGGCTGAGCAGGGTCAGAAGCAGGAGGTGGGAAGAAAAACTGAAAACATACCTTGGCATGAGGGGACTGCATTTTTTGATACATCTCCAAGGAATAGTGATGAAGCCACATTTCAACAAAAACCTGCAAAAAAGCATTAGCTAGTCAAACCATTCTTGACAATGGTGTCAGACCATCCAGTGGGGAAAGGACAGTGTCTCCAACAAGCAGAGCTGGGAACACAGAATACCCATGTGCAGAACAGTGAAGCTGGGCCCTTCCTTCACACCATCACCAAAAAATAACTCAAAATGGGTAAGCGACCTGAGGATAAGCACTAAAACCATACACTCTTAGAAGAAAACATGGGAGAAAACTTCATAACACTAGATTTGGCAATGATTAATTAGATATGATGCCCAAAGCACAGGCAACAAAAGGAAAAAAAATAGACAACTAGACTTCATCAAAATCAACACTCTTGAGCATGAAAAAATACTATAGATAGAGTAAAAAGGCAACCAACAGGCATGGTGGCTCAACCCTGTCATCCCAGCACTTTGGGAGGCCGAGGTGGGTGGGATTACCTGAGGCCAGGAGTTCCAGACCAGCCTGGCCAACATAATGAAAATCTGTCTCTACAAAAAATACAAAAATTAGCTGGGTGTGGTGAGGCATCACACCTATAATCCCAGCGACTTGGGAGTCTGAGGTGGGAGGATTGCTTGTGCCCAGGAGTTTGAGACTGCAGTGAGCCAAGACTGCACCACTGCACTCTAGCCTGGCAACAAAGACAGACTCTGATTTAAAAAAAAAAAAAAAAAAAAAAAAAAAAAAAGGGCTGGGCACAGTGGCTCACACCTGTAATCCCAACACTTTGGGAGGCCAAGGCAGGTGGATCACCTGAGGTCAGGAGTTCGAGACCAGCCTGACCCAACATGGAGAAACAGTGTCTCTACTAAAAATACAAAATTAGCCGGGCGTGGTGGCGCATGCCTGTAATTCCAGCTCAGCTACTCAGGAGGCTGAGGCAGGAGAATCGCTTGAACCCAACAGGCAGAGGTTGTGGTAAGCCAAAATCGTGCCACTCCACTCCAACCTGGGCAACAAGAACAAAACTCGGTCTCAAAAAAAAAACAAAAAAAAAACCCAGCAACTCAAGTGTCTACTGAGAGATGAATGAATAAACACAATGTGGTACATCCACACAATGGAACACTATTCAGCCCTAAAAAGCAAGGAAATTCTGACACATGCTGTAACATGGATTAATCTTTAGTCCATTATGCTAAGTGAAGCATGCTACTCACACACAAATAAGTACTATGTGCTACGCATACTCTGGGTATGAGATCTAGGAGTCAACTCCATAGAAACAGAGAGCAGAATAGTGGTTGCCAGGTGCTGGGTGGGGAATTGTTTAATGGTTTGATTTCCTTGTTTTTCATTAGAAGAGATGGGGTCTCACTATGCTGGCCAGGCTGGTCTTGAACTCCCGGCCTTGAGCAATCCTTTCCTGCTGGGCCTCCCAACGCACTAAGATTAGAGGTGTGAGGCCCCTGCGCCCGGGCTGGTTCAGTTTCAGTTTTGCAAGATGAAAAGCATTCTGGAGATTGCATGCACAACAACATGACTGTATTCAACACTACTGACTGTACACTTGGAAATAGTTAAGACAATAAGTTTCATGTTATATATATCTTATAATTAAATTTTTTTCTTAGTTAAAAAAACAAAAAGGGCCGGGCACGGTGGCTCACGCCTGTAATCCCAACACTTTGGGAGGCCAAAGCAAATGGATCACTTGATGTCAGGAGTTCGAGACATGGTGAAACCCCATCTCTACTAAAAATGCAAAAATTAGCTGAGCATGGCAGTGGGCACCTGTAATCCTAGCTACTCGGGGGGCTGAGGCGGGAGAATCACCTGAACCTGAGAGGTGAAGGTTGCACAGAGCCAAGATTGAGCCACTGCACTCCAGCCTGGACAACAGAGGGAGACTCCATCTCAAAAAAAAAAAAAAAAAAAAAAAAAAATGCTTTGGCCCAGGGAACAGCAGAACCTTCCAGTTCTTCCCTATAAGCGCTGTGTCATGATCTTCTGCCCTCTTCATGGCCAGCACAGCCTACGGTCCACACAGCCAAGAGCCATCTGGGCATCATGGTCCCCTCTGTGAACAGGGGCAACGGTTCTTACCATTCCACCCTGCGAGGATGCTGTGAAATGGTATGGAGGCTTCAAAAAGTGCAGCACCCCAAATACTAGGAGTTACATATAAGATGGGAGATAGAATCCTATCTTATCTACATGCCAGGCTGTAAAGCAAGGCTGTGGCTACCAAGTCAGCCCCAGGATCCAGCGTCAGAAGCAGCACCTGCTGAATCTCTCTGTGTGCCTAGAAGACACAGCCAGGACCTGGGAGTTGGCCAGCACTCAGGAAGTGAGCCAGCCCATACCATCCTGACAGGCTGGAGCCCCTCTGGGCAGACAAGGAAATCTGTCACCTACTACTTGGATCCCCTGAATCAATGGAAGGCCTGTGGAGGCTGCACAGACCCCTCACCATTCAGTGTCATGGAAACCAAAAGACTCTGCAACAATTATATCACCACAGGCAAAACGAAACAACTTCCATGGACAGGGGATCCTGGGATGAAAAACGCCATCAATGACATTCAAGTTAAAAGGGTGGGCAGATTTACTTTCATGTTTTCTAAATGTCACAGCAGGAAAATATCAACAATTTAGAATCAGCCCCGGGCTGAGGGGCCGCCTCTGGGACTCTGCCCCACATAGTGGAAGGTGGCAACAGTTTCTTTTCTTTTTCTTTTTTTTTTTTTGAGATGGAGTCTAGTTCTGTCACCCAGGCTGGAGTGCAATGGCACGATCTCAGCTTACTGCAGCCTCCACCTCCTGGGTTCAAGCGATTCTCCCGCCTCAGCCTCCCGAGTAGCTGGGATTACAGGCGCCTGCCACCACGCCCAACTAATTTTTGTGTTTTTAGTAGAGACGTGGTTTCACCATGCTGGCCAGGTTGGTCCCAAACTCCTGACCTCAGGTCATCTGCCCACCTAGGCCTCGCAAAGTGCTGGGGATTATAGGCACGAGCCACCATGCCCAGCTGGCTGAACAGTTTCTTTTGACCAGCTCAACTCTCACCTGGAGCAGAGTTTCTGACCTCCAGATCTCGTGGGAGGCGGGGTCTGCATTCACAGACGTCTGATGAGAGATGTGTCGCTTTAGGAGGCTAGTGTGGTGGAGGCCATAGGAAGCAAAGGGTATGGCTGGTGTCCTGAGGGAGACACAGAAACAGGCCCGAGTTACAGGCTCCCGCTGTAACTCGCTCCCGCTGTAACAGGGGCAATCTGGATATCAAAATCAACGAGAGCAGGGACAGATTACAACTTGTTCAATAGCACAATGCACACCTCCCCCCAGCCCCCTGATCCACACTGATATACCTGAATAAATAAATAGCAAAGAGAGAAGTCTTCCTTACCACAGAGTGACCATTGACCCACAAATCAATGAAGGAGGGATGAAGTTAGAGAACCACCATTTAGTAACCGCCCTATTAATAGCTGATTTGGTCAAGAATCAACAGTGAGGTTGGGCATGGGGGTTCACACCTGTGAGCATGGGGGCTCACACCAGCACCTTGGGAGACCAAGGCAGGAGGATTTCTTGAGGCCAGGCATTTGAGATCAGCCTGGGCAACAAAATGAGAACCTATCTCCACAAAAACATTGAAACATAAAACAGCTGGGCCTGGTGGCATGTGCCTGTAGTCCTAGCTACTTAGAAGGCTGAGGAGGGAGAATGGCCTGGGCCCACGAGTTGAGGCTATAGTGACAAATGATCGTACCAACTTCACTCCACCCTGGGGTGACAGAGCAAGACCCTGTTTCTAAAAAATTAAGAAATTCCCAGCCTGGGCAACATGGCAAAACCCTGTCTCCACAAAAAAATACAAAAATTAGCCAGGTGTGGTGATGCCTCCCTGTAGTCCCAGATACTTGGGGGGTTGAGACAGGAGGATCACTTGAGCCCAGGAGGTTGAGGTTGCTGTGAGCAGAGATCGTACCACTGCACTCCAGCCTGGGGTAAGAGAACAAGACCCTGTCTGCAAATAAAATCAATTTGAAAAAATAGGAGAATCAAAAGTGGATGTTAATACTACTGATAATTACATAGTCTCCATACATCTTCCCGGTAAATTCTCGTTATCAATTTTTTTTTGAGACAGGATCGTACCCTATCGCCTAGGCTGGAGTGCAATGATGCAATCACAGCTCACTGCAACCTCAACCTCCTAGACTTAGGCCTCCCAAGTAGCTGGGACCAACACCACCACGCCTGGCTGATGTTTTTCTTTTTAGTAGAAACAAGGTCATGCTATGTTGCCCAGGCACTATTAATTTTTTTTTTTTTTTTTTTGGTTGAGATACGGTCTCACTCTGTAGCCCAGGCTGGAGTACAGGGGCATGATCTTGGCTCACTGCTACCTCCGCCTCCTGGGTGCAAGCAATCCTCCCACCTCAGCCTCTCAAGTAGCTGGGATTACAGGCGCACACCACCACACCTGGTTATTTTTAAATTTTTGGTAGAGATGGGATTTTGCTATGTTGCCTGAGCTGGTCTCACACTCCTGAGCTCCAGTGATCCGCCCACCTCAGCCTCTCAAAGTCCTGGAATTACAGGCATGAGCCACCATGCCCAGCCTCATTACTATTTAACCTGGGCACAAAGTAATTATTTTACAATGGAAAAACCTGACCGGCACCTTTTTAACCCAGTGATAAAAGGGCACCTGGCAAGGACCAGGTGTCCCACTACGGTGCTCCTCCCAACAAAGCCCATGCTGGGCCTAGTCACCAGCAAATACCACACAGCCTAAGGGGCGGCCGCATGCTCTGGAGGGGTCAAGGTCAGGAAAGACAGAAAGGCAAGGGACCATTCCTGACTGAAGGGGACTAGAAATATCACTATATACAGTGGGTGAGCCTGTGAAACATCACTGCACACAGTGTGAGGCCTGGTGGCAATACTAACTTCCTGGTGTGGTTACAGGCACTGTGACTATATAGGATAATGCATTCGCTTCTAGGAAATACACTGAAATATTAAGAGGTCAAGGGATGCCATATCCTGTAGCTTACTCATATTGGCTTAGAGAAAAAAAAACACATACAATAGAGGTGGAAACCAACACATGCAGCAAAGTATTAACAGTTTGGAAATCTGGGTGAAGATCTATGAAAGTTTCTTTTTTTTTTTTTTCCCTGAGACAGGATCTTGTTCTGTTACCCCAGGCTAAAGTGCAGTGGCACGCTCACAGCTCATTGCTCCTGGGCACAAGTGATCCTCCCACCTCAGCCTCCTGAGTAGCTGGGACCATAGTTGCACATCACCATACTTGGCTAATTTTTTTTTTGTAGAAATGAGGTCTCCCGACGTTGCCCACACTGGTCTCGAATTCCTGGCCTCAAGTGATCCTCCCGCCTTGGCCTCCCAAAGTGTTGGGATTACAGGCGTGAGCCACTGTGCTCAGCCTGCAAGTTATTTTTATTATGCGTGGAAACTTATCTGTAAATCTGAAGTTATTTCAAAATAAAAAGTTAGGTGTGGTGACTTGCAACTGTAATTCCAGCTACTTGGGAAGCTGAGGCGGGAAGATTGCTGAGGCCAGGAGTTCAAGACCAGCCTGGGCAACACAGCGAGGCATCCCCATATCTCCGCAAAAAAAAAAAAAAAAAGTTAAATTAGCTGGCTGTAGTGATGCATGCCTATAGTCACTGATGTGACAGGCTGGCTTGAGTGATGATTGTGCCACCAAGTGATGATTATGACACTGCACTCCAGCCTGTGTGACAGAGTAAGACCGTCTTTAAAAATACATAATGGCTAGGCCAGGAGCGGCGGCTCACACCTGTAATCCCAGCACTTTAGGGGGTCGAGGCAGGCAGATCACTTGTGGTAAGGAGTTCAAGATCAGTCTGCTCAACATGGTGAAACCCTGTCTCTACTAAAGATACAAAAATTAGCTGGGTGTGGTGACAGGCACCTGTAGTCCCAGCTACTTGGGACTGAGCCAGGAGAATCACTTGAAGCAGAGACAGCGCCACTGCACTCCAGCCTGGGCAACAGAGTAAGACCCTGTCAAAAAAAAAAAAAAAAGCACACAATGGACCAGTGTAGTGGTTCATGCCTGTAATCTCTGAACTTTGGGAGGCTAAGGCAGGAGGATCGCTCGAGCCCAGGAGTTCTAGAGCAGCCTGGGCAACATAGCAAGACCCATCTTACAAAAAAATAAAATAAAAGCTAGGTGTGGGGGTGCATGCTTATAGTACTAGCTACTTGGGAGGTTGAAGTGGGAGGATCACTTGAGCTCAGGAGGTCAATGTTGCAGTGAGTTGTGATCACAACACTGCACTCCAGGCTGAGCAACCCAGCCAGGCCCTGTCTCAAAAAAAAAAAAATGCTGGGTGCAGTAGCTCACACCTGTAATCCCAGCACTTTGTCTGAGGCCAAGGTGGACGGATTGCCTGAGGTCAGGAGTTTGAGGCCAGCCTGGCCAACATGGTGAAACCCCGTTACTACTAAAAATACAAAAATTAGTCGGGCATGCTGACCTGTGCCTGTAATCCCAGCTACTTGCGAGGCTGAGGTGGGAGAATCACTTGAACCCAGGAGATGGAGGTTGCAGTGAGCCAAGATCATGCCACTGCACCACTCCAGCATGGGCGACAGAGTGAGACTCCATCTCCAAACACAAAATAAAATAAAATAAAATAAAATAAATAAATAAACCCAAACCATATATATATAATTTCTTTTCTTTTTTTTTTTTGTGTGTGTGTACAGTGGTGCAATCTCAGCTCACCACAACCTCCGCCTCCCGGGTTCAAGCAATTCTCCCGCCTCAACCTCCTGAGTAGCTGGGATTACAGGTGTGCACCACCATGCCCAGCTAATTTTTGTATTTTTAGTAGACAAGGTTTCACCATGTTGGCTAGGCTGGTCTCGAATTCCTGACCTCAGGCGATCCCTCCACCTTGGCCTCCCAAAGTGCTGGGATTACAGGCATCAGTCACCACTCCCAGCCTACGTATATAATTTCTAATAGAAAAAATTAAAACAACCCAAAAAGTTAAAACAAGCAAAAAAACCAGGCATCAAAAACTGCTTGGCAGCTGAATTCTGCATCTAAGAGGGTGTGAATCTGCCTCACCTCCGAGTCCTCCACAGGATCAGCAACATTTCAGGGTCACTGATCACTGCCGCTACCTGGGCAGCGTCTCCTCCTTGCCACTCCCTTTCTCCCCTCCACCCTCTGGGGAATCTGTCCACACGTGAATTGTAGGTAAAGGCCTGGCCTGCCTTACACATGCCAGCAGATCTGGGGTGGGCCAGCATCTGCAGGAAGGGGCCTGCATGCAGCTTCCTGGGGAAGGCGATGGGCCAGTGAGATTAAAGAGGGTCAGAGGTGCACAGGCAGCTGCTGCTGGGGCAAGAGGGTCTCCTGGGAAGTCGGCCTGCGTTAGTGCCCACTGAGGACCCAGGACAGCCAGGCATGAGAGCCCCTGGTTCACACTCCCAACCTGTGCAGGCACGCATCAGGCTCAGCCTGTTTGGACTGACAAAACAGGCTCTTTGGCCCAGGGCCTCCCCTTCAAGATCTGCTCCTGGGGCCCATAGAGATTCCTATTTTTTTTGCTCATAGGACAACCTTTCCACCCTGCTCACTGACTCAGACACCGCCTGTGGGGACGGCTGCTCCATGCACAACACAGCCCATTCCCATGCAGGCCGTGGAGGCCTCCAGGGACCTGATAGCTTCAGTGATGGCCAAAGACACTGAACACTAAGGACAGATTGCCCGCCATACCCCACCCTCCAGTCTGTGCTAAGACAGCTGGGGATGGGGAATGAGGCATAAGAAAAATTGGGGAACCGTGGACAAAGGGTGGCAACATTGTCCCCGTGGGCGATGCAAGTGACCAGGCCACTCCCTTATGGAAGGGCCAGGTCTTAACAAAGGGCAGCCTTACCTGGGAGGTGGTGAGGGGCTGGTCCCCCCTGGGCTGGAGGAGAGTGGTGGGGGCACACTGCCTTCGGTGGGCAGGAACCATGACAGGTACCTGTCCACCAGGATGAAATAGGCACAGTCTGAAGTACGGACGTGGAGGGACACAGGAAGTGGCTGGAAAACCAAGCTAGTTGTTAGCATGGGCTCTGGACACTGCCAGGCCACCAAGCACCAACAAGTGCAGGGAAGCCCTGGGCCGTGGCCCCACCTCTCCCAGCAAAAGGCATCCCTTCCTTACCTTCTGAGTGATGAGGCTCAAGGCAAAGAAGAATATGTAATACTCGAACGGATCTGAGAGCAGCGTCAGGGGCAAACATGCAGGGTTGATGAGCCACCCCCCGCTCAGTGTCAAGTGCTGGGCCACCCACAGCCTCCCTACCTCAGGGCCACCAAAGGATACTCAGGGCCAAGTTCAGACCAAGGCCCCCAGTAGGGGTGAACTGGACCTTGTTGTGGTACAGAGGACTGTCAGGGAGGATGCACTCCTGGATGGACGCCTTCACAGGACCCTGCAGAGAGAGGCAGTGAGGCTTGTGGGCAGGTGCTGGTGCGTAGTGCCCGATACGCAGTACCCCACATGCACAGCAGCACTTTGGGAAGGCTGCTGGGGAAGAGACCCACACACAGAACCCACCTGTGGGGACAGTGCCCTGCCTCTGAGCAGTGCCTGAACAAGAGTCTTTGCTTAGAACTTCTCCTACCATCATCTCATAAAGAGCTGCAGACAGCAAGGGTAGCAGTCATGCAATACCCATTTCCTTTGCCTCTCACACCCCTGGAACGAATCGCTCCTCAATTTGCCCTCAGAGGACTGGAGGAGATTGCCCATCACCACAGGGCTGTGCAAGGCCCACTGCCCCGAGCACCACTCTCGCCACTGTGGTTTACTTACAGGCAAGTAGGAGACAGGAAAGTCGAACTTATAGTCTTCAGCTTGAAGCTTATAAACCAACTTCATCATTGGGCCACTGAACACGAAATTGAACAAACAAACAAAAACAGGGCAAATGAACTGCGAATTATCTTGCTTTGATTGTTTCTTAATCTTGAGAAATTCAGAGAGTGCTTTAAAGGTGGAATCACCATGAGGAATCACCCAGCCTCTCTCCGGTGACCAACCTACCTACCCAGGGTCGAGAAATTCCATCACGATGCTGTACTCCACAGGATTCACGCGCCCCTGTAAGCAGCGGAGGTTCCAGCCAACGAGGACACCATCTAGGCTGCCAAAAATGCTTTCTACCAGCCATGGGAAGATGGTGTGCAGCTCCTGAAACAATGTGTGGTGAAGCCGCGTGCAGGACCAGCACCCACTCCTGCCCCGGCTCTAGTCCTGCACCACCTGCTGCCCAGCTCCCTCTGAGGAAGCCACTCCCTGGCTAAGACCTATGGGATCAGCCCTGCACCCAAAGGAAGCCTGGTGCCATGGTGCCAACGACAAGAGCAGCTTTACGTTCTTCCAGTGGGGTACATGGCATACCAAGCAGTGTTGCTTTAGACTTGGGCCAGTTAAGTAAGTCAGCCTCCGATCAAAATACATTTTTTGTGTGTGATAGAAGATTAAATTAAGAAAAATAAATAAATTTAAAAAAAAACAAACAATGAAAATAAAAAAATATAAAATAAAAAAATAAACAAAATACATATTTATTGAGACAAGGTCTCACTCTGTTGCCCTGGCTGGAGTGCAGTGGCGCAATTATGGCTCACTGCAGCCTCGACTTCCTGGGCTCGAGCAATCCCCCCACCTCAGCTTCCTGAGTAAATGGGACTATAGGCACACACCACTACACTCAGCTAATTTTTAAATTTCTTGTAGAGATAGGTTCTCAGTATGTTGCCTAGGCTGGTTTTGAGCTCCTGGGCTTAAGTGATCCTCCCACCTCGGCCTCCCAAAGTGTTGAGATTACAGGCATGAGCCACCACAAAAAAAAGATTCTTTAAACAGTGATGGAAACTTCTGACTTGAAGGATGCTCTATCAGAAAGGAAAGCAACATCCTTTCCAGAGTGAAGCCCCTGAAACCTAACTGACCTATTGCCATTTGGTATTAACTCCTTGTCTAGGCCAGCTTCCTGGGCTTGACAATTCCAGGTGTGATTTAAATACATATTTTTAGTATTTACATCAGGGTTTCTCAATCTTGGTGCTGTTGACATTTTGGGCTAGATACTTCTTTGTCGCAGGGAGCTGTCCTGTGCTTTGCAGAATGTTTCCAGCAACCCTGGCCTCTACTTCTTAGAAGCTAGTAGCACACACTCCCCATCTACCTCCAGATGTGACAACCAAAAATGTCTCTGACATTGCCAAGTGTCCCTGAGGAACAGAGCATCTGTGGCTGAGAACCCCTGATCTACAAGTTCACATGTTTAAATGTGTCCGTAAACATAATGGTCATGGTAATGGCCAGGCCTCTGTGCCAGGCAGTGCTCGGGGTTGGGGCGGGGAGGGAAATTAGGAATTATAATAAAGTTCTTCAACGAATGTATAAGACATGCTCCAAAGAGAGACGTTAGCAGAGCTATACCTTTGCTGGAAAGTCCTCAATGACTTTAACCAAGTCTTGGCACTGCTGTGCAAAGGGCTTATTTATAGAGTCAGCTTTCAGGCTAGCCTAGAAGACAGAACAAAGCGAAAAAGTCACGAGGACATTCACTCTGCAGCTTTTAGTGGCACTCTGGCTTGAGTCAAACAGAAATCCAAGCAATAGGTTATGAGTCAGACCCATAACCTCTGGCCTGGTTCCCCAGCCCCTCATGTGTGTCAGTGGCCCAAAGAGTACTACTAGGAGAGGCCGTAGTTCTATGCTCTCTGGACCAGGAACTATCAGCCTTGTTTCCCAGTACCCCCTCAGAGTGCTGCACATGATCAGAACAGGATTGACTTCCACCAATCCATAAGTAGGGGTTGGTCCCAGAGTCAGCCCCACAGCCAGAAGAGGATCTTGACTGTGTAAGGGCACCCCTCACAAACCACAGAGTATAACTGAGTTTGTACGCATCAACTGGAAATTTCCAGCCTGATGGACCACCGTGATTACACCATTGTGATCATCAGTAAGAACGCCCAACAACATCACGGCTATGGCAGAAGCTCTCTTAAATGAGCTGTCCTTTATTCGGTAGACACTGAACCACTAAACCAATGATCTTAAAACACAGGGCAGACAAAAATTATAGATGGCTTCAGCCAAGTAGACACTAATCATGAAGGCAATGGAGAGGCCAGAAAAGACTCAGGACAAGGACTAATGAAATCTACCTAGTCGTGGGATGTGAGGAAAGCACCCTGACTACAAGGAGAAAAAGGGCATCTGTGCGAATGGATTAAGATCAGGAGAAACGGCTAGAATTTCAACCTAGAGAGCTTTGCCAAAGGATATCTAAGGCCTTGTCTACCTCCAAACAAGGGTGGATTTCACAGTGATTGAGACAGAGATGGAGACCTGAGCTATCTGGCCATGGGCCAGACCTGTTGACTCTAGTGGGGTGCACTGAGGAAGAATGTCCTTCCACATAAATGTTTACAAAAACACCTCCTAAGAACTAAAATTAGGAACTTTCATCACCAATACTTGCCTCATATCTAACTTCTCACTTCTCAGTATCATTTTTTTTTCCTTTTTGAGTCTTTACTATGTTGCCCAGGCTGGTCTCAAACTCTTGGGCTCAAGTAATCCTCCTGCCTCAGTCTCCTCAGTAGCTGGAACTCCAGGCATGAGCCACTGCACCCAGTTCTCAGCATCATGTTTAATACTTAAAGTGCAACCTAGCAGGCCCCCGCACAACAGTGTCTCCATTTTTCACTGATGACAGTTATGACTGATTATTAGAATACTTCATATCTATTTAAGAATTTACAAGTCATGAACATTCTGATATACATCCTTCTCACTTGCTCTTCCTCCTCCTCACACCCTTGGGAAGTAGAGAAAATAGAATTTGAATGAACTTGTGTGAGAAAACCCAGAGCCCAGAAGTTGAGTAACCCCAAGGTCCTGTAGTAATAAGGAGGCACAGTCAAGTTAAGGAGTCTGCCATTGTTTCCATCACATGCCCCTAAAAAACAACCACTACAGAGTTCTTCAAGTCAATGGGAAGAACACTCAAGTCCCACATCTACAGAACTATGGCCACACTGACACTCATGCAAGCAGTTGATATTTACCAGTAGAAAGCTGGGCTGCTGCAGGTGAGGGAACGCCATAGCAGCCTCCAGTGGAGAGTTGAAAATGGCCTTCTTAGCAAACCACTGTGGAAAAACAAAGACAAAATCTCAACATCTGTAACACAGCAGAATCTTTTTATATTATTTTTTTAGAGACAGGGTCTTGTTCTGTTGCCCAGGCTGGCATGCAGCAGCACGATCATAGCTCACTGCAACCTCAAACTCCTGGGTTCAAGCAATCCTCCCACGTCAGTCTCCTGAGTACAGGCACGTGCCACTATGCCTGGCTAATTTTCTTCTTTTTTGAGACAGGGTCTCGCTATGTTGCCCAGGCTAGTTTGTCAGGCTGTGATGCCCAGGATCCTGGCCTCCACTGATCCTCCTGCCTTGGCCTCCTAAGTGTTGGGGTTACAGGTGTGAGCCACTGCACCTGGCCCTAACAAAATATTACATAGTTTCACAATGCCCAGGAGAATATCACACATTACATTACCAATTCGCAACACACATTACATTGCCAATTCTCATGTCTTACTTATTGATTAGAGACAGGCTCTTGCTTGCTCACTCAGGCTGCAGTACAGTGGTGCGATCATAGCTCATTGCAACCTCAAACTCCTGAGCTCAAGTGATCCTCCTGCGTCAGCCTCCCAACTAGCGGGAACTACAGGCAAACATCAACAAGCCCAGCTAATTTTTGTACTTTTTGTAAAGATGGGGGTTTCATCATGTTGCTTAGACTGCTCTTGAACTCCCAGACTCAAGCGAACTATCCGCCTCAGCCTCCCAAAGTGCTGGGATTACAGGTGTGAGCCAACACGCCTGGCCAGCAATTCCCATCTTTTATAGAAATGCTGTTCTCAGCCGGGCATGGTGGCTCCCACCTGTAATCCTAGTACTTTGGGAGGCTGAGGCAGGAGGATCACCTGAGGTCAGGAGTTCAAGACCAGCCTGGCTAACATGGTGAAAACCCGTCTCTACCAAAATACAAAAATTAGCCGGGCATGATGGTGGGTGCCTATAATCCCAGCTACTCAGGAGGCTGAGACCCGAGAATCACTTGAACCCAGGAGAGGTGGTTGCAGTGAGCTGAGTCACACCACTGCACTCCAGCCTAGAAGGCTGAGCAAGACTCCATCTCAAAAAAAAAAAAAAGAAAAAAAGAAATACTGTTCTCCTGCAGCCCATAGTGGCCAGCTTCAGAGCCAAGTTTGTAGTACTGAATCCTCGGTAATGCTTGTACAGCATTTGTTATATACCAGGACTCGCTCTAAATGCTCTCTATATATCTCCTCATTTAATCCTCAGTGGTAGGCAGAATTCTAAAGATAGCAGCCCAAGATTCCCGACCCCTGTTTGTTCAATCAAATACTCATCTAGGTACTGCTATGACGGCATTTTGCACATCCAATTAGAGTCCTAAGTTAGTGGACCTTAAGTTACAGAGTAGTCCCCAGCTGACAGCCAGCAAGGAAACAAAGACCTTAGTTCTACAACTCCAAGGAACTGGATTCTGCCAGCAACCTAAATAAACCTGGAAGCAGCTTCTTCCCTAGAGTCTCCAGATAAGAGCAAAGCTACCAACACCTTGATTTTAATCTTGTAATGCCTGGACTTCTGCATACATAACTATGAGATAATAAATGGATGCCGGTTTAAGCTGCTAAGTTTGTCATACAAGAATAGAAAAACCAACCTCACAACAACCCGATGGGTACAGATGTACTATGACTGCAGGTCAGTACAGATGATGAAGGAGAGGCAGAAATGGGATAATTCACTTACCCCCACCCAGCTAGTAAGTGGCAGAACCAAGATTCCAATACAAACACCACCTCACAAAACTGAGACAGGGGCAAATCCCCTCCATATTACCTGTGCACTATGCAATGAACGGAGGGGAAGAGCAAGCTCTGCCAAGGGAGCCTTTGAATAAGCCATGAGAAAACTAGGATCAAAGGCCGGGCACCATGGCTCACACCTGTAATCCCAGCACTTTGGGAGGCCGCGGTGGGCAGATCACTTGAGGCCAGGAGTTTGAGACCAGTCTGGCCAACGTGGCAAAACCCCATCTCTACTAAAAATATAAAAATTAGCTGGGTGTGGTGGCGGGCACCTGTAGTCCCAGCAACTCGGGAGGCTGAGGCATGAGAAATGCTTGAGCCCAGGAGGCGGAGGTTGCAGTGAGCCAAGATCACACCATTGCACTCTAGCCGGGGTGATAGAGGGAAACTCTCAAAAAATGGAAAAAAAAAAAGAAAAAAAAAGAAAGAAAACTAAGATCAGCTTTCCAGAATCCTACCTCTCAGCTCACCCAGGTCAGAAATGAAAAATGCTCAGACCTAGACTTCACAGACAGGAAGTCTGCCAAGTCCCACTGGTGGGCTAGTTACAGTTTTCATGGCCCAGCTCTGCCCACTGCACAAGTAAAGGCACTGGGGTGACACCTGGCAGTCTGTGGAGGAAGAGAGGCTGGGTGTAAAGAGGCCATGTAGGCAGCTGTAGAGTGAGAGGAGACAGGAATCTCTGCCTCTCGGCAATAGGAACATCTCCCAAGTTTTTTCAATTCTTTTTTTTTTTTTTTTTTTGAGACAGAGTCTCGCTCTGTTGCCCAGGCTAGAGTCCTGTGGCGCTATCTTGGCTCACTGCAAGCTCCGCTTGGGTTCACGCCATTCTCCTGCCTCAGCCTCCCGAGTAGCTGGGACCACAGGCACTGGCCACCACACCCGGCTAATTTTTTTGTATTTTTAGTAGAGACGGGGTTTCACTGTATTAGCCAGGATGGTCTCGATCTCCTGACCTCGTGATCCGCCTGCCTCGGCCTCCCAAAGTGATGGGCTTACAGGCATGACCCACCGCGCCCAGCCTCTTTTTTCTTTTTTTGACTGAGTCTCACTCCATCATCTCACTGCAACCTCCACCTCCAAAGTTCAAACGGTTCTCGTGCCTCAGCCTCCCGAGTAGCTGGGATTACAGGGGCCTGCCACCACAGGCTGCCTAATTTTTCTATTTTTAGTAGAGGCGGGTTTCCCTATGCTGGCCAGGCTGGTCTCAAATTCCTGGCCTCAAGTGATCCGCTGCCTCAGCCTCCCAAAGTGCCGACTTTTTCAATTCTTTTTTGAGATGGAGTCTCGCTCCGTTGCCAAGCTGGAGTCCAATGGCATGATCTCGGCTCACTGCAACTTCCGACTCCCTGGTTCAAGCAATTCTCCTGCCTCAGCCTCCCGAGTAGCTGGAATTACAGGCACATGCCACCACATCCAGTTAATTTTTGTATTTTTAGTAGAGATGGGGTTTCACTATGTTGGCCAGACTGGTCTCAAACTCCTGACCTCGTGATCAGCCCTCCTCGGCCTCCCAAAGTGCAGAGATTACAGACGTGAGTCACCATGCCCGGCCGCTTTTTCTTTTTTCTCCTTTTTTTTTTTTTGAGATGGTCTCGCTCTGTCGCCCAGAGTGGAGTGCAGTGGCGCGATCTGGGCTCACTGCAAGCTCCGCCTCCCGGGTTCACGCCATTCTCCTGCCTCAGCCTCCCTAGTAGCTGGGATTACAGGCGCCCGCCACCACGCCCGGCTAATTGTTTTTTGTATTTTTAGTAGACAGGGTTTCACGTGTTAGCCAGGATGGTCTCGATCTCCTGACCTCGTGATCCGCCCGCCTCAGCCTCCCAAAGTGCTAGGATTACAAGCGTGAGCCACTGCGCCCGGCCAGCTTTCTCTTTTTCTTTTTTCAGACGGAGTCTCGCTCTGGGCTCTGTCGCACAGGCTGGAGTGCAGTGGCGCGATCTCAGCTCACTGCAACCTCCGCCTCGCGGGTGCAAGCAATTCTCTTACTCAGCCTCCCAAGTGGCTGGGATTACAGGCGCCCGCTACCACGCCCGGCTAATTTTTGTATTTTTTACTAGAGACGAGGTTTCACCATCTTGGCCAGGCTGGTCTTGAACTCCTGACCTCGTGATCCACCCGCCTGGGCCTCCCAAAGTGCTGGGATTACAGGCGTGAGTCACCGCTCCCGGCCTCAATTCTTAACCTAGCTATCAACTGCAGTGTTAAAGAAAAACGCCTCAGTCCTAAGGCACTTGGTCAAGAAAACGCTGCACTACTACAAAATGATCAAAGCAGCATTAAACTGTGGACTGTTCGGTAAGTGCGGAGCTCTAGAGACGATGAAGGGGAGAGCATCTCTGCTCAGAAGAAGCTTTCATGGGCAGCGACTGAAAGAATGAGGCCCAGAGGAATTTCTAGGAAATTTCCAAGAAAGGAAATTCAAACCCGAGAATTCCCAAGAGGTGTCTCCCACACCCCTGTTATCTGACTCTGCCATGGCCACCCTCCCCCGTCACAGGTCTCTGCGTGCCATGCACCTAGAGTCCACTTCATGGCGACTCTCCAACACCTATTTTCTCCAGGAGCTGCTTCGGACCCCGTTTGTTTTTTGTTTTGTTTTGTTTTTCTGACAGCGACAGCCCTTGGGCAACGCTAATCATTCCAAGCAAATTCTGTCATGCCAAGACCTCCCTTAACAGCACGCGCCCACTTGTTCCCAACTCTCCTGCCAATTGGGCTTCGGGAGCCTCCAAAACCAAGGCTCGGAGATGTGGAGCACACAGGGGAAGGGTCGAGCTGGGACCCACACCCGGCTCTTACACCCACACCGCCTGTTGAGCCCAAGGCTCAACTTCAACACAAAGCTCTCCTTCCCTCAATTCCTTCAACGAAGGTTAACCTTCAGCGAACACCTACCGGACCGGGACAGAGTGTACGAGCCGCGCGGGAAGGTGGCACAAAGGCATGGCCCAGAGGGGTGGCAGAAGACTCAACCGGGGCCCTCCACTCCCCAGCCTGCCCTGCCTGGGCAGAGCCGGCTGGCCGGCCCGAGTCCTGGGGCTCGCGGAGGAACGGAGATGGCCTCCGCAGGGGCTCGGGGAAGCCCCCAGGGCGCCGGACCGTCTCAGGCGCGCATCCCGCGCCACTCACCTGTGGGATCCATAGCGTCGCTCGCCTCAGAGATGGAAGCCGCCATTCCGCCACGGCGCCGAAAGTCGTCATCAAGCTGCGCGCAGAGCCACGCCCCGCGGCCGGGCGGGAAAAGCGCTTCCACCTCTTTGGGCCGTTACCTCAAAAGGCGCGTGCGCAAAGCGAAGGCCGGCCGGGCGGGGAAGAGAAATGGCGAGGCAGGAGTGCGGGGGAGGGAGTGGTCCTTAGCTGAATGCGCCTGCGTTGTGGCGGCCTCCGGCGCCCCAAGGTACTTTCTCCCCAGCAAGGAATCCGCGTGCGCGTAAGCAGTATTGTTGATTAGTGCCCCCCCCTTCCCCCCGCCCGCCCCGAAAAGCGACCCCTAGTGGTGCACCGGTGCGGACCAGAAAATTGCACGCTTTCTTGAAAGAGGCATTTACCGAGCGCCCAATGTATGCCTGGCACTGGGCTGGGTGCTGCCACCTAAGCGAGCACGACCAATGCAGTCTATCAGGGAGGCCCAGATCGCCAAGCAGCGGACCCCTGCGGTCCGCCATGCCACTCCCGGCTCCTAGAGCGCCGCTCAGCACACCGTGAGCGCCCAATAACTGTTGGGCTTCAATGACGCCGCGGAGGCGGCCCCGTCCCCGCGCTCCCGCCCCTCCCGCCAGGGCAGCCCGGGAGGCCAGACGTTGACGCTGCAGGGAGAGGGTGGTGGGCGCAGCCGCTAGGGGGCGCGGCGGGGCGGAGCGCACCTTTCCGCGGGCCGCGGGGATGGCGGCGCAGGGCGTAGGGCCTGGGCCGGGGTCGGCGGCGCCCCCGGGGCTGGAGGCGGCCCGGCAGAAGCTGGCGCTGCGGCGGAAGAAGGTGCTGAGCACCGAGGAGATGGAGCTGTACGAGCTGGCGCAGGCGGCGGGCGGCGCTATCGACCCCGACGTGTTCAAGTGAGCGGGGCGGGTGGGGGCCGCATGCTAGCCAGACACCCCCCGACCTCTGCTTTCCGGGTACGCCCGGCCCGCTGGTCGGGAGGAGCCCCCGCCCCCGTCCTTGTCGGGTCTTCAGGGAGGTGGCCGCGCCGGGCGGAGAGGGCTCACCGGCCCCGCGTCTGTCCCCGCCAGGATCCTGGTGGACCTGCTGAAGCTGAACGTGGCCCCCCTCGCCGTCTTCCAGATGCTCAAGTCCATGTGTGCCGGGCAGAGGCTAGCGAGCGAGCCCCAGGACCCTGCGGCCGTGTCTCTGCCCACGTCGAGCGTGCCCGAGACCCGAGGTCAGAGCTGGGCCCGCTGTCCCTGCCCCAGTGGCGGGGGTGGCGGGCGGGGAGGGGGCAGGCGCGGCACAGCGGCGGCGTGGCCCTGAGTGGCCAGGCCTGTCTGTCGGTCTAGGCCCAGCACCTGCAGGGCCCATCCGTGGGCTCTGCTCCTGGGCTTCGCTGCCAGCCTTAGGAGGCACGTCCAGGTCAGGTGGACGCAGAGTGCGTACCCCAGGGTGGTCCAGGCTGGGTAGGGCTCCTCCGCTTAGCTCCCCTCCACCTCTTCACTCAGGCCTTCATCCTACAACGTCGGGAATCAAGACAGTTTGGGGCTGGGCGCCCTGGCTCACGCCTATAATCTTTGGGACCCCAGGGCGGGAGGATCGTTTGAGGCCATGAGTTTTAGACCACTCTGGGTGACAGGGTGAGATCCTGTCTCTAAATGTTTTTCAAAAGACAGTCTCGATCTCTGTCCTGTGGTATACAGCATCCAGGGAAGTGCCCAGGGACCAGGGCAGGCAGAGGTCTTCCTGCCTTTACCCCACCTGGGCCCAGTTCCTGCGCAGGGGCTTGGCCAGTCCTGGTCAGCTTTCCCTCTGATGACTGCAGGAAGAGAGTCAGACGCGGAACTCCCAGGGTGCAGAGGCCTGCGGGGTCTGAAGGGCCTCCTCCCTCTCCAGTGTGGTGACTGGGCTGAGGAGATTCTGGGACTGAGAGTGTCATGGTGGAGCCTCCGTCCCTGCTCATCCTCTCCGCATGTTGCTTCTGCTCCCGATGGCTCTCTCTGAAATGCAGCACAACCTCCTAGGCCAATGGAAGAAGGCCCAGAGCTGGCTCCCTGCCTGGAAGCACGAGGAGACCCGCACAGGCATCCTGAGAAGGCGTGGAGAGCAGGCTGCCTTCATGGGGGGAGTGCCAGGGCCTGGGCACCCACACCCGCTGACCCAAGAGGGCCCGGGCACCTGCGTGCTGGCCTCTTCACTGACCTTCGCTCTGTCTGCTCTCTTTGTGTCTCTCTCTGACCTCCAGAGGCCTCCTTTCTCTCTGCCAGGAACAGTAGCCCCCCTGCAAGGCCCTCCTTTTCCTCCAGCCCGCAGCCTGCGGCCTCTCCGGTTCTGCTCCACAGCCCGGCTGCCACACACTCGCCTCTCTCTCCAGGCCCCCCGGGTTCCCTCCGCCTCTCTTGCTGCCTGTTCTCTCCTTTTGCAGGTTGCGTTTATTGGCTTATCTCTGGGGGTTGGTGCTCTCCCTTGTTTCCATGGAAACTGCCTGGCCCCAGGAGGCCCAAGCAGCTTTGAGCTCCAAGGGCAGGACCATGCAGGCCATCGCTGCCCTGCCGCTTAGCCACAGGGCACGATTTCTGACTCGGTTTATTAGAGACATAGTGTGGCAGTCTCTAGACCCCACAGTCGGGCTGGCATCTGGGGACAGGACCAACACCCCCACACCCCAGAGGCGAACTGTGGTGAGTGTAAAGAGCCCCTCTCCAAGGGAAGACAGCCGGCCAGAGTGCGGTGTGCTGTGCTGGAGAGCACAGCCCCAGGCGTGACAAACACCTCGGCCTCTTAGAAGTTGTCCCTTATCTGGACAGGAAGTCTGGAGGCTGAAACAGAGACTCCCACCTTCCCAGAGTCTCCTGGGCAGTGCCACACAGATGCCATATGCTGGCCCCGTGGCCACACTCCAGCACTCAGCCCCCTTGCCCACCTCACTCCTGAGTTAGCACACTTTCCAGGTGTCAGCAGGTGTGATCAGGGGCTCAGAGCCAGGGTCCTGTGAGAGCCCAGGGGTCTTTGGTTGCACCTCCTGCGTGCACTTCCTGACAGCGCCCACCTCACTGCCACCCAGAGCTCAGACCCAAGGGAGGGTGGAGAGGGGCTGAGGGACAGGCCTGGAGTAGGGGTGTATGCACTGCAGGCTGAGATGAGCAATTGAGGGGCAAGTGTCCAGCAGGAGGGAGAAACTGGGAACAGAGTCCTTGTCACTCCAGGGGATGTTGCTGCTCACTCAGCACTCACTCAGGGCTCTGGGAGCCAGGCCTAGCTCTCAGGGCAGAGGGTGTGGCAGGGAAGTGAGATGATCACACTCAGAGCCCAGTGAGAGGCAGTGAGGAAAACCACCAGCGAGACCAGTGTGGTGGCTCACACCTGTAATCCCAGCACTTTGGGAAGTCAAGGCAGGTGGATCCCTTGAGCTCAGGAGTTCAAGACCAGCCTGGGCAACATAGCAAGACCCCATCTCTACAAAAAATACAAAAACTAGCCAGGCAGGGCTGGGCGCGGTGGCTCACGCCTGTAATCCCAGCACTTTGGGAGGCCGAGGCGGGCGGATCTCGAGGTCAGGAGATTGAGACCATCCCGGCTAACACGGTGAAACCCCGTCTCTACTAAAAATACAAAAAAAATTAGCTGGGCGTGGTGGCAGGTGCCTGTAGTCCCAGCTACTCGGGAGGCTGAGGCAGAAGAATGGCGTGAACTTGGGAGGTGGAGCTTACAGTGAGCCGAGATCACACCACTGCACTCCAGCCTGGGGGACAGAGCGAGACTCCGTCTCAAAAAAAAAAAAAAACTAGCCAGGTGGGCATGGTGGTGGCGCCCATCTGTAGTCCCAGCTACTTGGGAGGCTGAGGTGGGAGGATCGCCTGAGCCTGAGGGGGATGTTGCCGTGAGCCAAGAGCTTGTGACTGGACTCCAGCCTGGGCAACAGAGCAAGACCCTGTCTCAAAAAAAAAAAAAAAGAAAAACCGCTAGCAATGGAGATGGGAGGAGGCTTCAGAGCCCAGAGAGCAGCAAGGGTTACACAGGGGGGTAACAAGGGTTACAGCAGGAGGGGGGTCGGCAGAGCCCCACACGTGTGAGCTGGGGCAGTGGGAGGGCGTGGGTGAGGCAGAGCGCTGTCCAGGTGCTGGTAGGCCGGGGGCGGGAGGAGGCAGGTGGGGGGGCACGGTCAAGATGTATGTGAGGGTTGTGGCACTGGAAATGCAGGCATAGAGGGGCCAGGAGGATTAGGGGGTGCTGTGTGAGCGAATGGGGGCTCCGAGAGAATTTACCCAAGGACAGGAGTGGCCTGGAGTGCTGGGACCCTCAGGGTCATTTGTTCCTTGAGGGCTCTGTCCTGGAAGCATAGCCCAGGTCCTGTAGGCTGGGTGGCAGAAAGCCAGGACATGAGGGCACCGAGGCCCTGTGGAGATAGAGTGGAACCTGAGGAGGAGGTGGAGGGGAATGGGGCAGATGTGGGGCCACACCAGGAGTGTGCTGCTGAGTGAGAAGCAGAGGCCACAGATGGAATGCTGAGAGCTCTCTGAGGCCCACATGTTACAGCATCTGACCACACAGAGCTCCGGCTGCCCTGGTAATGGCAGAATCTGGGGTGGAGGACATAAGGGGGGTTGTTGGAGTGATCCGGCTGGGGGGCATGGAGGCCATAGGTTTCCCACAGGACTCGGGTGTGGAGTTCTCCAGGCTGTGGGCCAGGCCCTCTCAAGCTTGCCTCTGAGCTGCAGCAGGCACCCTGGGTCCTCTGGATGCCTGTCCCCCAGCCATCCAGACAGCCTGTGGGGACAACCACCACCAGATTCACTCATACCCACAGGGAAGGGGAAATAGAAAACCCCAGAAGCACAGAGGGGCAATGCTTGTCTTGGTGAGAGTCTGGAGTCATTGAGGGAAAAATAAATTCAGTCAAGCGTTCTATTTAAGTTTAGAGAAACTATACGTTTTAAAAGTTGTCCAGAGCATGCATGTAAGATGACGTTTGGAGTGTGGAAGCCATCTCACCTGAGCTGTGCTGCCTGATACAGGAACCTTGAGCCACACATGGCTGGCATGGTCATTGCACTGCGTGTGGTATGCACAGCAGATGCCAAATGACCGGTACAAAAGGGAATGCAAAAAACCCACCACACCTTGGGAGTCCACAGCTACTGGATCTCTTGAGCTCAGCAGTTCAGGACTAGCCAGGGCAACACAGGGAGACCCAATCTCTACAAAACACAAAAATTAGCAGGGCATGGTGGCACACATCTGTAGTTCCAGCTACTTGGGAGGCTGAGGTTGGAGGATTGCTTGAGCCTGGGAGGTTGAGGTTGCAGTGAGCTGTGACTGCACCACTGCACTCCAGCCTGGGTGAGAGAGTGAGACCCTGTCTCAAAAATAAACAAAAAACCCCAAAGTGAATGAGGCTGGGCATTGGTTCACACCTGTAATCCCAGCACTTTGGGAGGCTGAGGCAGGATCATCACTTGAAGCTCGGAGTTTGAGACCAGCCTGGGCAAAATAGCAAGACCCCACCCATTTCTACAAAGAAACAAGAAAAAGAACAGAGGTGAATGCAACATCTTATGAATAACTTATGTACTGATTACGTATTGAAATAATACGTTGGATATTTTAGATTAAAGTATTTGAGCTAATTCTGCATTTTCTTTTACTTTTTATTTATTTATTTATTTTTGAGACAGTCTTGTTCTGTCACCCAGGCTGGAGTGCAGTGGCACACTCATAGCTCACTGCAGCTTCAACCTCGTGGGCTCAGACAATCCTCCCACCTCCTCTTGAGTAGCTGGGACTACAGGTGCACACTACCACACGTGGCTAATTTTTTAATTTTTTGTAGAGATGGAGGTCTCACTGTGTTGTCCCAGCTGGTCTCTAGCTTCTGGCCTCAAAGGATCCTCCCGCCTTGGCCTCCCAAAGTAGTGGAATTACAGGCATGAGCCACTGACCCCTGCTGAGCCAGGCTGTTTTCAACATTCAATGGTCATTGACTATCTTTGGCGTTTAGGAGGGCCCTCCAGGGACCAGGCGTAGGGGCATCAGTCACCCCGCCCTCACACCCCAACCTGCAGCCACACTTGGTTCAATCCCACTGTCTAGCCCGTCTGACTCAGTAGCCCCTCCCGAGGGAGCAGGGCTAAGCAAAGCTGGTTTCCCCACTGCAAGGCACTGCAGGCCATTCTATTCTGGGCCTTCTCATCCTTCATAAAGTGAGGAGGCCTGAACAGGGCTCCCCACTAACCCTGAGAGCGCACAATTCCTGAAGATTTCCAGGATTTTCTTAGTATCAGTTATGGCTTAAAGTTATGTTGGTTTCACATTTCCAGGGTTTGTCAACCCTGTCAGATTTAAAGATAAGCATTATTAGCCAGGTGTGGCCCCATGCTTGTAGTCCCAGCTACATCGGAGGCTGAGGCAGGAAGATCCCTCCAGGCCGTGAGTTTGGGGCAGCAATGAACTGTGATTGCATCACTGTGCTCTAGACCAAGTGACAGAGCAAGACTCAGTCTCTAAACCCCCCTCCCCCACCACTCAAAAAAAAAAAAAAGCATTATTTGCTCTTTTCTGCTTCCCTCTCATCCTTGTTTCCAGAAGGGACTGGGTCATTGCTGAGGGGAGGAGAGGAAGCTCAGATGGCAGCAAGCTGAAGGGAAGCCGACTCTGAGTCAGGCCCAAGTCTGCGGCCTGCCATGCTGCGTGCTGTGGGGAGCTGAGAGCGCATGGGCACCTAAGCACCCAGATTAGGCTGCGGCTACAGAAGATCTGACTCTGTCTGGCCTGGCCTGCGGAGGGACTGTGGCCTCAGAGGAGGATGCTGGCCCAGTGTGGGAGCTGCTGCAGGGTGGCGGGGCCCGTCTGCTCATGGAAGACAGAATCCTTGCCCCTTGACCAGTCAGTGGGGACTAGAATTATGGCAGTTTGTACCACAAGAGATGCGTGGTGGCTATTGTCTGCTTTGTGCCTTTTTCACGAGTCACTGCTGGGCTGAGGTGGCCAATCATCACCCACCACGTGTTCCTGACTGCGCTCCTCCTTGGCTCAGGGCAACCCTGACTCCATCTTTGTTGAGTCAAGTGTGACAAGCTGACAGAGTTCCAAGCATGACACCGCTGTAACCCTCACCACCACCAGGCAAGAATGAGCAAAGATCTCATTCTCTGAGGAAGAACTCCCCGGAAACTCAAAAGGAGGGCCGTCCTATCCCTGCAGGGTATGGGGAGAATTTTCTGGTATTAGCATAGAAAGGGAGCTGGAGGTACCTCTGGAAGAGCGGGGGTCCACGGCATCTCAGACACAGGAGTCTCTGCTTGTTCAGGGTGACAGATGGTGAAACAGAAATGACCTAATGGATCTCTAGACACCCGGTTGCATCTTTTCTCCAGGAATCCAGTTTCCCATTGCAGGGTATTTGACTACACTTGATAAGAGGCCAGGGAAGGACCAGGATTGAGGCTGGGTGTTCTGTTGGCTGAACCCTTGTCTGGAGTCACCCTAAAAGTGATGGCAGGGGAGTTCCTGCAAGGGACTGCCCCAAACCTTTCCAGGATGAGAGCCAGTTGGGATTCCAAAGGAAGAAACACTTAATGCCAGGGTGGTCAGTCCAAAGCATTTGTTAGGGAGCTTACATACAGAGGGGGCTGCAGTGTACCCTCACGAGGGACAGCCAGGAAAGAGGTTGTGCCTAGGCACACCGCACTGAGGGGGTGGGGTGTGGAGTTTCTATGAGGGTGCAAGGAATTTGGCTGGGGTGGGACCAGTTTCCACGTGCTTAGCAACATGTCAGATCTTTCAGTGTTCCAGGCAACAACCTAAACGTGTATCAGTGTCTGGTAACATGCAAGCCCCAGCCAGGGTTTGAGCCTGCAGGGGGAACATGTAGCTGATTAGGTCAGAGTAGTCAAGGCACTTCCTCAGTCAGGACAAAGGAAACACTGGGGGGATGAAATGGGGGACCCAACACTGAGTCAGGCAGGGGACACATGCCCTGTTTAGAGCCCACAGGCCAGACCCTGCCAGGCCAGAGCAGGGGAGAGCCCTGGCCAAGGCACTCCACATGGGGGTCTGTGACCCCACGGGCAAGCCTGCTACCCGGGCACGTTTGTACCTTGGAGGGTCCTCTCAGTCTTGCCGATGCTGTCAACACCCTGAGCCCAGGGAAATCCATCCCATTAAAATAAAGGTCTGGCCCAAGTGTGGTTGCAGATTTTTCTTGGCTATCTTAAAGAGTAAAGTAAGCAAATTACAAATCAAAGAAACTCTGAACCAGTGGTCTTCATCCAAGAGAGCCTCTGGTGGTCAGAAGGAAAGTCTCAAGCATTCAGACTGTGGCAGGAACCCTGTCATGGAATCTGGCAGCTAAACCCGAAAGCAAGAGGCTTGACCACTGCAGAACACTCGGGTAGGTAGGAAACAATGAAAGAGCTTCCAAAATCAAAATCAGAAACCCAATTCCAGGACTTGGTGACTGCAGTACTTCCTGCCTGTCACCATCTAGGGCAGCTCAGATGTGCAGTCCAGCATGAACACACCTTGAGGATGAGGCAGCGCATCCCTGCTGCTGCCGCCGCTGATGGCACCATCAGGGCAGACTAGGTTTGCTGACCAGGCTAGGTGTGGACCAGCACACCTACCTTTCCCTAAATGGGCCCGTGGCATGTGTCCTTTCAAAATGTTCCCTTGGCAGTGTGCTCCTTGCATGGCTTTGCTCCTAGGACACATCCAAAAGGGTCCCCTGCACACTGCGAAGGGCTTCTGGGGCGTGACCTGTCTTTAGTGGTTCTGAGTCTCAGGACTTGGGGCTGATGCAGGGCCTCTAGCTGAAGGGACTTTGATGGAAATGTGCAGACACAAATGTTGCCCAAGGACCACGAGTACAGCAGGTGCTGCAGTTACGGGGCACGCCCATTCCTAATCATTGTGCTTTGTGTCTCCTCAGGGAGAAACAAAGGCAGCGCTGCCCTCGGGGGAGCATTGGCCCTGGCGGAACGCAGCAGCCGCGAAGGATCCAGCCAGAGGATGCCACGCCAGCCCAGCGCTACCAGGCTGCCCAAGGGGGGCGGGCCTGGGAAGAGCCCTACACGGGGCAGCACCTAGGATGGGGCAGAGACTTGTTGCATCTTTGTCCCCAGCAAAGGCTACATGTTACCTCCTTCAATTGATAATAAACCTTTCTGAGATGCAGAGGGTCCAGGTCAGATGTTGTCTACCGTTTTTTTTTTTTTGTTTTTTTTTTTATATTAAGGCACACTTAGAATGAAGTTTCTGTGCCGGTCCTGGTTGTGCCACAGTGAACTAACCAGGTCCCTTCACCATGGGTCAACTTCCTGAACCTGATTTGGGTTCTGAGAAAAGGCATCTGGATTGCCAGGTCTTTTATAAATAGACGTCAACAAGCTTCACTTGAAGTGAAATGTGGGAGGTTTTTTTGGTTTTTTTGAAATGGAGTCTTGCTCTGTCACCCAAGCTGGAGTGCAGTGGTGCGATCTCGGCTCACTACAAGCTCCGCCTCCTGGGTTCACGCCATTCTCCTGCCTCAGCCTCCCAAGTAGCTGGGCCTACAGGTGCCCATCACCACGCCCGGCTAATTTTGTTGTATTTTTAGTAGAGACGGGGTTTCACTGTGTTAGCTAGGTTGGTCTCGATCTCCCACCTCATGGGAGGTTTTCTACCAAGGCAGTTGACAGTGCTGAGGGACAGGGTGGCTGTGTGTGCGCACAGAGGGCGAACGCTGCCTTCCAGGTTACCGTGGAGCACTGGGGTCAGCATGGGTGTGTTGTGACCTTCTGTGGGTCACGAATGCTGTGTGGAACTCGGTTAATATTCTTTCCCCCTCTAAAATGTCCTGACCTTACATATTTGACCCACAGCTTTAGAGACTTCATGGACAAGCCCCATCCACAGACCTCCAACACTTCATGCTCCCTTTTAGCCAGCATGACCCATCAATAAAGAAGCCCGAAAAATCACAAATTCAGTTGAAAACCCTGACTCAGCTTTCCTAGAATTTAGGAAATCTATACATTGAACGCCTGGCTTTGAAGAAACACTATTTTCCCCTGGTCAGGTTACTTCTGTGGCAGCTGCTTATGTACAGTCCTGCTGCACCCAACCCCACGCCAGCAGGGCAGGCTGGCACCCCACCGCTGTCCATGCAGGCTCTGGGGTCCCACCAGCTCCTGTAGGCAGAGCTAAGCTGCATGACACTCAGAGGTCTTGGTTTTATACAGAATCTTTAATTGCAAACAACTTGAAAGCAGCCATCCTAGGGGTGGCAGGGGAGAACCCACCACACCCTCCCCTCAGTATTCTTCGCCTTCTTCAGCCTCAGCTTCCACGGAATCCACGCCCACCTCTTCACAATCCTTCTCTAGAGCTGCCAGGTCCTCGCGGGCCTCAGAGAACTCTCCCTCTTCCATGCCTTCGCCCACGTACCAGTGCACAAAGGCCCACTTGGCATACATGAGATCGAACTTATGGACCAGGCGGGCCCAGGCCTCCGCAATGGCCGTGGTGTTGCTCAGCATGCACACGGCCCGCTGCACCTTGGCCAGGTCTCCCCCGGGGACCACTGTGGGGGGCTGGTAGTTAATGCCCACCTGCCAGAGAAGGGAAAGAAAGCAGTCCGTGAAGCTTATATCAAACCTAGAAATGGTAGCTACTTCTCCTCAAACAGAAGACACCCTGTAGGTGACACGGAGAATGCTCAGTTCACCTCACAAACGTCACTAAGCCCTTCTCTGCACCAGGCAGGGTGATAGTTCCAGACGAGGAATAGAGAAAGGAACCTTGGAGGTAGCCACCCTGGTGGGATCCCAAGCTACCTAAAGGGCTGTGTCCTAGTACCTGTGACATGTGATAGGTGCCCAGGTGAAGACAGTCTTCCCTCTGAAAATGTATGCTGCTTGTCTTCTTTGTAAATTACAATTAAATTCTGTAGCTAAACTTCTTCCACCCAGATAGATTCAGAGTACACAACTCTTGCCCATGCTATCACAAGGAACATCATACCCACTTCTGACCCACAAAACAAGCCACTGTGGATATGCAAAGGTAGCAGATCATGGGTCAAGAGTCATATGAATGCTGCTACCACAGCAGCAGGAAGTGGTCGAAGTGGTCCATGTGCCTGCCTAAGTAGGGGGTGACATTCCAAGGTGGTAACCAAAGGGGAAGCATTCCAAGTTTCAGAACTCGGTAATAACATGACCTGAGGTCCTGGCAGCAGTGCACAGGGTCAACTAGAGCAGGGATCAGCAAACTCGTTCTATAAATGACAACATCAGGCCAGGTGTGGTGGCTCAAGCCTGTGACCCCAGCACTTTGGGAGACAGGCGGGCAGATCACGTGAGGCCAGGGGTTTGAGACCAGCCTGGCCAACATGGCAAAATCCCATCTCTACTAAAAATACAAAAATTAGCCAGGCGTGGTGGCAGGTGCCTGTAATCCCAGCTACTTGGGAGGCTGAGGCAGAGAAGTGCTTGAACCCGGGAGGTGGAGGTTGCAGTGAGTCAAGATCGTGCCACTGCATTCCAACCTGGACGACAGAGCAAGATTGTCTCAAAAAAAAAAAAAAATTACCCGGGCATGGTGGTACATGTCTGTGTTCCCAGCTACTTGGGAGGCTGAGGTGAGAGAATCGCTAGAGTCTGGGAGGCAGAGGTTGCAGTGAGCCAGGATCACACTACTACAGCCTGAGAGACAAAGCGAGACCCTGTCTCAAAAAATAAATAAATAAATAAAGCTCACCACAGATATATAGTGTGATGACTCAGAAAGAGTTCAAAAGACATCACTGACCTGGGCGCAGTGGCTCACGACTGTAATCCCAGCACTTTGGGAGGCTGAGGCAGGCAGATCACCTGAGGTCAGGAGTTCAAGACCAACCTGTCCAACATGGCGAAACCCCGTCTCTACTAAAAATACAAAAATTAGCCGGGCATGGTGGCAGGTACCTGTAATCCCAGCTACTTGGGAGGGTGAGGCCAGAGAATTGCTTGAACCCGGGAGGCAGAGGTTGCAGTTAGCTGAGATCGCACCACTGCACTCCAGCCTGGTCGACAGAGCAAGACTGTCTCAAAAAAAAAAAAAAAAAAAAAAATCACTGAATCAATTATCAACTCTGGTTCACTAACTTATGCCCACATGCCTAGCCCATGGAACAGGGATAGTCTCCCCAAAGGATGTGGGCCTTCAAGGCCAGTGTTATTTTGTGCATCTGCTGCTTGCTGAAAGGCCTCCATGTCACCCAGTCATACCTTAAATCCAGTCGGGCACCAATCCACAAACTGGATAGTGCGCTTGGTCTTGATGGTGGCGATGGCCGCATTGACGTCTTTGGGGACCACGTCCCCCCTGTACAACATGCAGCAGGCCATGTACTTGCCATGGCGAGGGTCACACTTGACCATCTGATTGGCTGGCTCGAAGCAGGCATTGGTGATCTCAGCCACAGACAGCTGCTCATGGTAGGCCTTCTCAGCTGAGATGACTGGGGCGTAGGTGGCCAGGGGGAAGTGGATGCGGGGGTACGGCACGAGGTTGGTCTGGAATTCCGTCAAGTCCACATTCAGGGCCCCATCAAATCGCAGGGAGGCCGTGATGGAGGACACGATCTGCCCAATCAGGCGATTGAGGTTGGTGTACGTGGGACGTTCAATGTCCAGGTTGCGCCGACATATGTCATAGATGGCTTCATTGTCGACCATGAAGGCACAGTCAGAATGTTCCAGGGTCGTGTGGGTGGTCAGGATGGAGTTGTAGGGCTCCACCACGGCTGTGGAGACCTGGGGGGCTGGGTAAATGGCAAACTCTAGCTTGGACTTCTTGCTGTAATCCACTGAGAGCCGCTCCATGAGCAGAGATGCGAACCCAGAGCCAGTGCCGCCCCCAAAGCTGTGGAAGATGAGGAAGCCCTGCAGTCCTGTGCACAGATCCGCCTGAGAGAAACCAGACAACGTGAGCCAATGCCCGTGGAAGCCACACCACCAACCTCCAACAAGCCAGGGCCGCTTCTCTTTGCCTCTAAAGAGTTGATATGGATTCAAATCATCCATAATAAACATGCAATACACTTTGAAGCAAAGAAAAGCAAAGATCTACGGACAAATCACCATTGCAGACTCAGTAGGACTCAAGATGCTGGTCTAAGTTTTTGCTTGTTTGTTTGAGACGGAATCTTGCTCTGTTGCCCAGGTTAGAGTGCAGTGGTGCAATCTCAGCTCACTGCAACCTCCACCTTCCGAGTTCAAGCAATTCTTCTGCCTCAGCCTCTCAAGTAGCTGGCAGTACAGGTGTGTGCCACCACACCCAGCTAATTTTCGTATTTTTAGTAGACATAGAGTTTCACCATGTAGGCCAGGCTGGTCTCAAACTCCTGACCTCAGGTAATCCACCTGCTTTAGCCTCTCAAAGTGCTGGGATTACACGTGTGAGCCACCGCGCCCGGCCAAGATGCTGGTCTAAGTGTTGATAAAATGACTTCCCTTTCACATTCCAAGAACTACCCCTCCCATGCAAGACAATGGCCACATGAAACCTTCTCTTCTTACCAGTTTGCGGATCCGGTCCAGGACTAGGTCAACAATCTCCTTGCCGATGGTGTAATGGCCCCTGGCGTAATTACTGGCTGCATCTTCCTTCCCGGTGATCAGCTGCTCTGGGTGGAAGAGCTGCCTGTAGGTCCCTGTGCGCACTTCATCTGCAAAAGAGACAGTGTGTACTGTGAATTTTTAAGGCCTGTACTCACCAAGATGGACACATTCCAGGAGTGTTCACTTCTACAGAGCACATGCTGTTCAAAGTACATGACCTACATGTCATAGGTCAACAGTGGCAGTGTCTGGTAGAAAATGTCTCTGTGTGATAACCAAACTGCATATGCAATTTATGACTCTACGACGTTAAACTCAGCTTGTGGTATAAATGTCAGCACGACCAGTTCCCAGTGAAAGGAAATAAGCTCTTGCACTCCTACTCAGGTACATAATTCTTTCCTACGTGTAGCTACATCAAAGGCTGTAAGTTAAAAACTCTTACAACCTGGGCAGTCACCAGGTCAGTGTGACTTCTGCAGGGCAGTCCCATCAGGGCACCCTGGATGACCTGGGTCCCACAGGCTTTCAGGTGATGCTGTCATCTCCTGGGGGGCCACTGAAAGGTGCTGCCTCTTTGTAGCTCTCCTTGGAAACTACCTCAGGCTGCGAATCTGAAGGAAGCAAATGACTGTTCTGTACTTACCTTCTATGCCTAAGATGCAGGTCAAGACTCTCGTGCACCAGCATAAGAGAATGCACAGCATTCGGGAGGGAACCAATGCCACTGCACCCTGCAGGCAGGGCCACCTGAGCAGGGCTGAGGCAGCCATGAGGGAATCTCTTCACAGCCCATCTTACTGCTGGCAAAGCAGCTTTTCCCTGTAGGTCAGGTTTTCCTAAATTAGGAGCCGAGTCTCACAGACACTTTCATCACAAACCTTTCAGTTTCTCTCCTAACAATGCCATGGGCATATGCCTGTCTATCCCATCCTTTCAGCAGGAGGATTCAAAGGAGCCCACACGGGGCTTTACCAATGCTCTCCCACCCTCTCAGGAAAGCTGCCATCCAGTGCCCAGGCACCTACCGACCACAGTGGGCTCCAGGTCCACAAACACTGCTCTGGGCACGTGCTTGCCAGCTCCAGTCTCACTGAAGAACGTGTTGAAGGAGTCGTCCCCGCCACCAATGGTTTTATCACTTGGCATTTGACCATCGGGCTGAATTCCATGTTCAAGGCAGTACAGTTCCCAGCAGGCATTGCCGATCTGGACACCCGCCTGCCCCACGTGGATAGAGATACACTCGCGCTGTGAACCGGAACATAAATGTGAACCCATTCATTTCAAGGCAACTTGAAACTATATGGCATGCAAAATATTCTAATTTAATATTTATATAGTGCTTCAGTATCTGGCGCTTTCACAATCGATATTTCCTAGGAGGGTTAGTGACTGATCCCTTTATCGCTGTGAAAACTAATTGCTGTAAACCATACTAGCTAGTAAGTTCTAGAAGTAGCCCTAGAACCTGTTTGCCACTACACAAAACTTAGGTTATTTTAAAACTTGGAAGCCATTTAATGTCAATAATCAACCCCACATTATAGCCCGTCACAGTAATTCTCTGAAGAATAAGTAGCAGTTTTTGATTATGTCCTGATCAAAGGATAAGGTAGTCGGGTTGGGTAAGGAAATACAGAGTAGGTCCCAGGTCACCATGGTCCAAGCCCAGGTGCTCAGTGTGTGTCCTCTCTCTGCCCCCCAGTTCTACCCCGTCCATCATTCACCACCTGCTCTGTGCTCTCGAAGGCTGACCCTTGAGAACAGCATCAGAGGCCTTCCTCGCCCTCTGGCTTCTTGCTGGTTTGGTCAATGGCAGGCAGCAGTGGGATACTGGGGGGCTGGAGGAAAGCAGTGCCAGGGTACTCCCTCCTTGGCCCCTTCCTGCTCAACTGCTGTGGGTGACCTGAATCCCTCTCAAGGCTACACTTTTGGCAGGCTGCCCTCTTCATAAAACTACCCTCCTAATTTCTTGTAACCACGCCCTCTCTCTACCCCTTGAAGCCTACGGGTGTAATGGCTCCCAGACATCATCAGTGCTGGGACACTGCACTGTCCTTTGGTGGTTTCTTTAAACTCTGCCAAGCTGGGTGTGGTGGCTCATTCCTGTAATCCCAGCACTTTGGAAGGCTGAGGTGAGAGGATCACTTGGGACCAGTTTGAGACCAGCCTGGGTAACATAGTGAGTCCCTGTCCCTATGAAAAATTTACAAATTAGCCAGGTGTGGTGGCACACACCTGTAGTACCAGCTACTCGGAAGGCTGAGGCGGGAGGACTGCTGGAAGCCAGGGGTTCAAGGCTGCAGGGAGCCGTGATCTTGCAACTGTGTTCCAGCCTGGGCAACAGAGCATTTATTGAGTGCTGTCTCAAAAAAAAAAAAAAAAGAAAAGAAAAGAAAAAAGAAAAAGAAAGGAAAAAAAGGATAACTGACAAATCACAGCTATTCAGACTTGGGACTTGGGAATCTGTTATGTTAATGGGCTGCTTTTTTTGTTTGGTTTTTTGAGGCAGGGTCTCTGTGGCCCAGGCTGGAGTGCACTGGCGCCATCACGACTCACTGCAGCCTCAAAGTTCCAGGCTCGGCTGATCCTCCCACCTCAGCCTCCCGAGTAGCTGGAACCACAGACTCGCATCACCATGCCCGGGTAATTTTAGTATTTTTTTGTAGAGACTGGGTTTCGCCATGTTGGTCGGGCTGATCTTGAACTCCAGACATCAGGGGATCCGCCCGCCTCCACCTCCCCAAGGGCTGGGATTCCAGGCGTGAGCCGCCGCGCCTGGCCTAACGGTTGCCTTTAGGTGAACAAGGCAATGTTGCAGCAGCGTCTGAGCCTTAATTCCTCATCTGACCAATGTCCACAGCCCCAACCCCCGTCACCGAAGGCTCCTGCAGCTCCTCAGCTGTTTCCAGTAGCACAAAGACGTGTGAAGCGGGAGCAGCGCCCTCCTGTCTTCAGGAGGCGACGCCACTATTTGCTCTCTGGGGGACGGGATACCGTCAATGGTCCCCGTCCACTAAAGGCCGGCAGCTTCATCTAAAACAAAAGCCGCCGTCCCTGCCCTGGGACCTGCAGATCCAGGAAACGATCCCGTGTCCTCCTGTCCCGCACTAGACCCTGCGTCCTTCTCTGGCCTCCTCTCAGCGCCCAGGCCCGCAACAACGTCCCTCTGTCCACCCGAGGCCAACTTCGTCTGCCTGGGCATCTGCGGGGCGGGAGTGACCCGGGTCTTACCATGGCGAACTCCGCTGCTTCAGCCCAACGCTACTTCCAGACCTCAACCGGCTGCCACAGCTGCTGAGCGCCCAACTGCAATGACCTGCCCACGCGCGCCGCACAGGATTGGCCTGCCGGTGCCAGGCCGCCATTGGCTCGGAGTTCCTGGGAGGCAGGCCGAGGGCCGGATCCCAGTTCTGATTGGCCGTTGCTCAACACGTGTAGTGGGGATGCTCTCTGATTGGATGCAGGATTGGCGGGAAGGCAGCGGGGTCATCAAAGGCTGCGCGGTTGCTGAGGCATTTCCGGGGTGTCTTCCGACCAGGATTGGAACAGCTACTGCGCTGCCTCTGTGGGTCGCGGAACATTGCCTTGCTCCCAGTGTGCCACTGCCCCTCCCTGATTGCCCCAGGCCTGCTCCTCTCCCTGCCTAATTCAGATCTTTGCAAACAAGGCCACCTCTGAGAGGCCTTGCCGCCATCTACCCAAGTCACAGCAGCACCGCAATTATCCCCCTCTTCCCTGTTCCCACCCAGCACCCGGGAAGTGGCAGGATTCAATCACTTTTCTGACCCAAAGGGAGAAAACGGGCCGGGCGCGATGGCTAACGCCTGCAATCCCAGCACTTCGGGAGGCCGAGGCGGGTGGATCACTTGAGGTCAAGAGTTCCCGAGACCAGCCTGGCCAATATGGTGAAAACCCATCTCTACTAAAAACACAAAAATTACCCTGGCTGGTGGTAGGCACCTGTAATCCCAGCTACACGGGAGGCTGAGGTAGGAGAATCGCTTGAAACTGGGAGGCAGTTGTTGCAGTGAGCCGAGATTGGGCCACAGCACACTCCAGCCTGGGCAACAGAGCCAGACTCTGTCTCAAAAAAAAAAGGAAGAAAGGAGGCAAAATTAACGTAAGTGGAGAGGTTGGGCCAGGCACACCAGCTCATGCCTGTAATTCCAGTGCTTTGGGAGGCCACGGCAGGAGGATTGCTTCAGGTCAGGAGTTCGAGACCAGCCTGGGCAACGTGGTGAGTCCCACCTTGCCCGTTTCTACAAAAAATAAAATTAGCAAGGCATGGTGGCATGCGCCTGTAATCCCAGCTACTCAGGAGGCTGAGGCAGGAGAATCCCTTGAACCCGGGAGGCAGAGGTTACAGTGAGCTGAGATCACGCCACTGCACTCAAGCCTGGGTGACAGAGCAAAACTCCATCTTGAAAAAAAAAATAGTTTATTTGGGCCAAGTTTGAGAAGTGCAACCCTGGAGATGCAAGTTGTCTTAAAATATTAGCAGCAGTTATAAGTGGGTTTTTAAAGGAAAAGAAGAGGCAGTTCCTAAGTTGTTTACCAAGAATTTGAAATTAGAGAAGTCTTGCTGTGTTGTCCAGGCTAGTCTTGAACTCCTGACCTGAAGGGATCCTCCTACCTCGGCTGGCCTAGCCTGAGGAATTTATATTAAAATAACGTAAGCTATTTATTGGGCCAGGCGTGGTGGCTCACACCTGTAATCCCAACACTTTGGGAGGCCAAGGTAGGAGGATCACTTGAGGTCAGGAGTTCGAGACCAGCCTGGCCAACATGATGAAACCCTGTTTCTACTAAAAATACAAAAATTAGCCAGGTATGGTGGTGAGCACCTATAGTCCCAGCTACTTGGGAGGCTGAGGTAGGATAATCACTTGAACCCAGGAGGCAGAGTTTGCAGTGAGCCAAGATCATGCCATTGCACTCCAGCCTGGGCAACAGAGTAAAACTCCATCTCAAAAAAAAAAAGAAGGCAGGGCGTGGTGGCTCACGCCTGTAATCGCAGCACTTTGGGAGGCCAAGTCAGGCGGATCGCGAGGTCAGGAGATCGAGACCATCCTGGCTAACACGGTGAAACCCCGTCTCTACTAAAAATACAAAAAATTAGCCGGGCATGGCTGCAGGTGCCTGTAGTCCCAGCTACTCTGGATGCTGAGGCAGGAGGATGGCATGAACCCGGGAGGTGGAGCTTGCAGTGAGCCGAGATAACACCACTGCACTCCAGCCTGGGCAACACAGCGAGACTCTGTCTCAAAAAAAAAAAAAAAGCTATTTATTGTCTCTACATTGTCTACATTGTCTTTGGTATCACAAATTCCAGGAACAGGAAGATAATGGGTTGAGCTAGTCAGGAACAAAATGCCTTTAAACAGTCACCCCAGGGCATGAGTACAAGGCGTGTGACTGAAGTCCATATTCCTGTCTCTCTGGGCCTGATAAATTCTGCACACCTCACATAACTCAAAGTGCTGTGAACACTTTTTCTTATTTCTTTGGTGAGAGGGAGTGGGTTTATGGCCAACAGGAAAGGGGAAGGCACACCCCTGTCCCGGGAAGAGCAGAGTCAGGACCCAATACCCATTTTGGAGGACTTTGGAACAGTCACCTGATTCTTCCTTTTTATTTATTTATTTTTTGACACTGGTTCTCACTATGTTGACCAGGCTGGACTCAAATTCCTGGCCTCAAGTGATCCCCAAGCCTCAGCCTTCCTTGTAGGCTGGGACTACAGGTGTGTGATTCTTCCCAGTTTGAGTCTTCCATCCCTAAAGATCATCTTAGTGTGTATTCAGTTCTGGGGAAAGCCCTGGAGGAGACGTGCTGGCTTACCCCCAGCTCATCACCAGGATGCAGCATCCCACCATGTCATCTCCCTGGAGGGTGGCCAAGCAGGCCCTTAACTTTCCCTCCTGAGAGGAGAGCAGAGAAGAGAGAGGGAGCTCCCCCAGTGGGATGGGACTCACGAGGTCCAGGAGTTGAGACTTTTCTGTGGCCTTTGGGGACCTCTGAACAGTGCAATCAGGTCTTCCCTTAGAAAGATGCTTTGGCAAAAGGAGGAGGGGCAGGGACGGAGTTCTGCCGACAGCTGGGAAAATCAGAGGAGGCCACTGGCCCCTTCTCCCCAGGAGGGTGAATCCTTCTGTATTAGCCCCAGGCACCCTAAAAAATACCACTGACTGAGTGGCTTAAACAGCAGGGTTTTATTTTCTCACAGTTCTGGAGGCTAAAAGCCCCAGAGGCCTCTCTTCCTGGTTTGCACACAGCCACCTTCTCACCATGTCCTCCCACGGGGAGGTAGCATCCAAGCGCTCTGGTCTCTTATAAGGACATGAATCCTGTTGGATCAGGGCCCACCCTTATGACCTCACTTAACCTTCATCATCTCCTTATAGGCCCTGTCCCCAACTACAGTCACATTGGGGATTAGAGCTTCAGCGTCTAATATTGGCGGGGGGGGACACCATTCAGTCCATAGCCCCCCTTCCTCAGGGCTCCAACCACATCATGCACAGAACTCAGCTGTAGCCCACATCACACGGTGCTCTTCAGTCCAGCCACGCATCCTTCAGCGGCTGGGATACGTTCTCGACAATGCATCATCAGGTAATTTCGTTGACGTGAGAACATCACAGAGTGTTCTTAGACCAACCAAGGTGGTGCAGCCTACTGCACACCTAGGCCACATGGTATAGCATATAGCCCCTTGGCTACAGACCTGTACAGCAAGGATTTATGTATCTAAACACAGAAAAGCTACGGGAAAAATATGGTATTATAACTTTATGGGACCACTCTTATATATATGCTGTCTGTTGTTGACCGAAACATCATTATATGCTACGTGACTGCAATATTTATTTTTCTGATTATAAAAGTAACACATATTCCCAGTAGACAGTGTAGAAAATTAGCAACAAACTATTCTACTGTAAATGACAAAAGAAAAATTGAGCCTTGGACATGCCCATTTTTACTGTAAGTTATGATTCCATAATTGACTTGCAGTAAACAGTGTTTCTGGCCCCTAAGTATTGCTGCCTTGTGTATTTTATTTAGTATACAGCACTAAAAAAAACAGTCCTGTGAATTATTAAATCATTTCAATAAGTCAGCTAACAACGTTTACATATAGTTGCTACACAGAAAGGAACACAAATTATTTCCTCTTTTGCTCATATTCAAACAGGCTTGAGTGACAACTTGAGGACAAGGCGGCGCCTCGACAAGATTTCACACAGCAGCTACGGGGGCCAGAGAAGCAGCACCGCATGGTGTGGCAGGAGAAGGAGGACATGCACAAGGTAGGCAGTTTGGTTCTGGGTGAGAAAGGCTTAAGAGGCTTTGCAGAGTTTTGTAAGGTTCATTTCATACAGATGTTTACAGACCTCCTTGGGACTCCCACTCATGGACTGTCCCTGCTGCAAGCAGGACAACAGGGCCAAGCCTGGTTCCAGGGCCCCTGCTGTGCCCAGTTGCTACACAGCCCATGTCAGCTAGCTGGGCTTGGCTCCTTGCCATGGGTGCCTTTCAGCGTGCTGCCTGCAGCAGGCACCCACTTCACAGTCATCATCTGCCATCTCCAGTTCAACCCCGCAGAGTAAGCAGCAACTCCCCCAGCCCCGCCCATTCTGAATGAGGAACGATGTCCAGAGGGCACTGTGTTATCTGCAGTGACACGCTGCGCCTGACACCAGTGACCTCGTCCTTCTCTCTACACCATGCCCCCTGCTCTTAGAAGGGGCATCTTAGTAAGGACAGGGAACTGCAAAAGAGGACATATGTTAAAATGTGGCTGATTCCCCCATAACTCCTTTATAAATTTGGTTTTTAGTAAGATATCTGAACTTTATATTCAAATGCCATTAAGTATAGTAATAACACAATTAGGTTCTTTTTTCTTTTCTTTTTTCTTTTTTTTTTTTTTTTTTTGAGACAGAGTCTCTCTCTGTCACCAGGCTGCAGTCATGCGATCTCAGCTCACTGCATAGGCTCTGTTTTCTAAAATACATTCATTTATACACTGAAGTCCTTGGACCTGTAGTTTGTGATCTGTCCTCTAAAATGGGGCAGATTTTAAAACCAAATTGCTTCTTAAGATCATCTGTGGTATCATCCCCCTGCATGACTTGTCTGGGAGTGCAGTGTGGGCTGGGCGGCCTCTCATTGCTTGACACAGTCACAGTGACTCTGAGCTGGACCCAGAGAGGCCTGGGGAGGCCTTTCCTCCCCATGTGGGAGCCGCCCTGCCAGCTTGCTCCAGGTCTCGTCACTTCCAGTCTTAGTCCAGCAAGTGTGACAGTGACTAAACAGCCAGACTGTTGGCCAGATCAGCTGCAGGGAGGTCAGGGTCATCAGTGCAGCAAGTGGTAAGGTTGGGTTGTCAGTGCAGCTGAACTTGTGGTAAGTCCTACTTGTGGCCCTCCACCCAGGGAGTCTTTGATTTAAATCTCTTTCTTCTTAATTTTCTTTTCTTTCTTTTTTAGTTTTTTTAAGAGATGAGGTCTCACTATTTTGCCCAGGCGCTGGTCTTGAACTCCTGGGCTCAAGTGATCCTCCCACCTCAGCCTCCCAAAGTGCTGGGATGACAGGCTTGAGTGCCTGGCCTGATTTAAATCTTCAGCACTTTGCCTATGTATTTTTTTCTGCTTCTGCTTCTTCTTGTGTTTAAGTAACTAGATTGAGTGCCCAAATGCTTTATTCACCTTTGCAATTGTGTAGAAGACCTCGGGCAGAGGTTGGCATTACAGAGCCAGCTGTCCTGCTGTAAGTTACTCCATGCAGTTGCGAGGTCTTTCTTGGTGTGGGGTTGTTGCTCAGCACCTGAGCCCAGGTGGTCTTCCCATTGAATGTTTGGCTGGGGTGAGGTGAGCACAGGGCTTTTTCCAAGCAGGGGATTTCTCCCATCTGTGGCTTTAATCTGTAACCAGCATTGGCTGTCACTTGTAACTCTTTAATATAGTGTAAGACTAAATGTCCAGCCTTCCAGACCTTTGTTAAGCAAACATAAAACATCTGTAATTTTTTTTTCAGCAATTGGTTGAAGCTTCAGAGACATTGAAATCCCAAGCCAAAGAACTGAAAGATGCCCATCAGCAGCAAAAGCTGGCCCTGCAGGAGTTCTTGGAGCTCAATGAGCTCATGGCAGAGCTCTACTCCCAGAAGCAGAAGGTGTGGGACAAGGAGGAGGAGATGGAAGTAGCCATGCAGAAAGCTGACATGATGTGGCAGGAGATCTGAAGATCCAAGAAGCTCAGAAAGAGGATGCTGTTTAGCCAGATGTGGTGGCTCACGCCTGTAATCCCAGCACTTTGGGAGGTCGAGGCGGGTGGATGGCCTGAGGTCAGGAGTTTGAGACCAGCCTGGCCAACATGGTGAAACCCCGTCTCTATTAAAAATGCAAAAACTAACCAGGCATGGTATTGGGTGCCTGTAATCCTAGCTACTTGGGAGGCTGAAGCAGGAGAATTGCTTGAACCTGGGAGGCGGAGGTTGCAGTGAGCCAAGATCATGCCACTGCACTCCAGCCTGGGCATCAAGAGCAAAACTCTGTCTCAAAAAAAAAAAAAGGGGGGGTGGGGAGGAAGCTATTTAGATATTTCAGCGATGGTATTGACTGGACTTTTGTATGACCTTAATAAAACATCTTTGAAAACTTGGGCTGCATTATGTAAATTACTTTAAAATCATCTTAAGTTTTATGTGAACCCAAGTAAGTTGATCTGCCAAGCATTTATTTTGTGCTCATCCCTCAATATCTATTTGTGAAATTATTAAAAGAGGTTCCTAGTCCTAAGTTTTTAAAATTCCCTTTTAAGTAAGTAGAGGGTATTTATGCTGAGCTGTGATATGGCCCGGCTTAATTGAATAAGAGCACCTGCAGTCCATAAAGGGCCAATGGCAGTAGAAAGGCAAATCATAGTCTAGGACGCTTCAAGCCACTTGCTTTAGACCAGTGCTTCTGAAGCATCTTGGCCTAAGCACTCCTTTACACTCTTGCAAATTACTGGGGATCCCAAAGAGCTTCTACTTAGGTAGATTACAGCTCTCAATATGCACCACGGCAGAAATTAAAACTGAGAATTCTTTCAATACAACAAAAACCCATTACATGTTAACGTAAAGTTTGTAATGAAAAGTAACTATTTCTTTAAAAATCTAGTGAGAAGAATGGCATTTTTACATTTTTTTTATTTTATTTTAAGATGGAGTCTTGCTCTGTCACCCAGGCTGGAGTGCAGTGGCACAATCTCCGCTCACTGCAGCCTCTACCTCCCGGGTTCAAGCGATTCTCGTGCCTCGGCCTCTTGAGTAGCTGGGATTACAGACATGCACCACCATTCTCGGCTAATTTTTGTATTTTTAGTAGAGATGGGGTTTCACCATGTTGGCCAGGCTGGTCTCGAACTCCCGGCCTCAGGTGATCTGCCCTCCTCAGCCTCCCAAAGTCCTGGGATTACAGGCGTGAGCCACCGCACCCAGCCGCATTTTTACATTTTTTAATGTTTCTTTAATATCTGGCTTAATAGAACGTGCTCGGGTTCTCATGTCTGTTTCTGCACTCAATCTGTTTGGATACACTGTTCCGGATGAAGTACATGAAGAACTCCTGGTTCCCACAGATAGCTAATTAATTATTAAAAGAGATTACTGTGGTACTAGGTTTTAAAAATTCCCTTTTCAGTAAGTAGAGGGTATTTATTCTCTGACAATGTCTCAGGATCCCAAGGTTCTCAGCCCACAATTTGAGAACTGCTGCCCTAGGTATTCTGAATGTTCTGCTGTTGATGAGTGACATGTTTTAAGCAATGCTTACTTTAAAATTTGATTAAAGGCCAGGGGCAGTTGCTCACACCTCTAATCCTAGCTCTTTGGGAGGCCGAGGTGGGCCCATCGATTGAGCTGAGGAGTTCAAGACCAGTCTGGGCAACATAGTGAAACCCCATCTCTACCAAAAATACAAAAAGTTAGCTGGGTGTGGTGACATGCACATCTAGCATGAAGTACTCAGGAGGCTTAGTGGGAGGATCACTTGAGCCTGGGAGGTGGAGGTTGCAGTGAGCCGAGATTGTGCCACTGTACTCCAGCCTGGGCGACAGAGTGAGAATCTGTCTCAAAAAAATTCTATTAAAATTTATTTAATGAATCCCACAAATGAGAAGGTCTGAAAGCACATGCTCAAGTTCAGGGCCCTTTGCTGTTTAGCCACAGGATATCTGTTTGTTTTCTTCTTAGTTTATTTTGCAACCTAAATATATTTGTAGTTGTAGCCAGTTACAACTCAAGTTAATGAAACCCCTAACTAAGGATTACCATTCCACATCGGATGCAGTGATACGTTGCCTGGGATTTGTTCTCAAGCGGTTTGTGCGTAGGCAGAGATGAAGCAAGCTCAGCTCAAGCTGCTCACTGTCAGCCGACTACGGTGGCTTGCCTGTAATCCCAGCACTTTGGTGAGGCTGAGGTGGGCGGATCACCTGAGGTGGAGTTTGAGATTAGCCTGGCCAACACGGTGAAACCCCATCTCTACTAAAAAAAATACAAAAACTAGCCGGGCGAGGTGGTGTGTGCCTGTAATCCCAGCTAAACTGGAGGCTGAGGCATAAGAATCGCTTGAACCCAGGAGGTAGAGGTTGCAGTGAGCTGAGATCACACCACTGCATTCCAGCCTGGGCGACAGAGCAAGAATCTTGTCAAAAAAAAAAAGTCCTCTCCTTAGTGTCAAAGCCGAGGTGCCAGGCACAGGAGGTTCATTACTCTCTCTTCTTCTGTTCTTCTGTGTGTGTCTGAAATTGTCCATTTAAAAAATGAATCAGTGTTCTACAGAAATCAGAAGTACTTGTTTTCACAAATCAGTACCCTTTCTTGAAATCTTATCTCAAAATATCAACTTAAATTTGAATTTGAACTTGTTTTATTACTAACCAACCACTTCAGCTGAGCCCTGCGGTGTATTTCTGAAACTTTAATTTGTGATAAGATTGATAAAGGGTGAAAAAATACAAAGGTCCTTTAAGGTCTTGCTCTCTTACAAGTCCTTTGGGGAAGATCTAACTGGTAAGGCCGTGCTTCCTTTGTGTTAATGACAAGTGCGTCTTCGTTTCGTAGCTGGAAGCTCAGCTCAAGGACACTGTTGCTGAGGCCTCAAAGGAGTGCAGACGTCGTGAGCACGTCACGGACTTCAAGCAACAGAAAGTGAGCCTGAAGCCCTCGAGGTGGTGCTGGGTTAGAGTCTTTACTCTTACCCCAGACAGAAAGCTCATCCTTGCTGATCCCGGCACGTGGACATTGCCTTGTGTAATGTGCTGGTCCCGGCTGAGCGTTACCCAAGGCAGCTCCAGACAAAACAGGGATATGGAGAGGTGGGGAGGGACCCTGCCTTCGTGATTGTTTTCATTTTCATAGCCAAGTGTATTAGTCCATTCTCGCACTGCTATAAACAACTACCTGAGGCCGGCGCGGTGGCCGACGCCTGTAATCTCAGCAGTTTGGGAGACCGAGGTGGGTGGAGCACCTGAGGTCAGGAGTTTGACACCAGCCTGGCCAACATGGCGAAACCCCATCTCTATTAAAATACAAAAATTAACCAGGCGTGGTGGTGGGCGCCTGTAATCCCAGCTACTCGGGAGGCTGAAGCAGAAGAATTGCTTGAACCTGGGAGATGGAGGTTGCAGCGAGCCGAGATTGCGCTACTGCACTACAGCCTGGGTGACAGAAAAAAAAAAGAACTACATGAGACTGGGTAATTTATTAAAAAAAAAAAAAAAACCAACAGGTTTAATTGGCTCACAGTTCTGCAGGCTGTACCGGCTTCTGTTTCTGGGGAGGCCTCAGGAAACTTAACAATCATAGCAGAAGGGGAAGCAGGCACATCTTACATGGCCAGAGCAGGAGGAAGAGAGAGAGCGGGGAGATGCTACACACCTTTAAACAACCAGATCTCATGAGAACTCCTGACCTCGGGTGATCCACCTGGCTCGGCCTCCCATAGTGCTGGGATTACAGGCGTGAGCCACCATGCCCAACCCTATATTTTAATTTTCAAATGAAGTAATATATTTGGTCTTTTAAATAGGATGTTTTTATTCAGTTAAAAGATGCTAATTAGGCCAGCCCGGTGGCTCACCCCTGTAATCCCAGCACTCTGGGAGGCCAAGGCAGGTGGATCACCTGAGGTCAGGAGTTTGAGACCAGCCTGGCCAACATGGTGAAACCTTGTCTCTACTAAAAATACAAAAATTAGCCAGGCTTGGTGGTGGGTGTCTGTAGTCCCAGCTACTTGGGAGGCTGAGGCAGGAGAATCACTTGAACCTGGGAGGCAGAGGTTGCAGTGAGCCAAGATTGTGCCACTGTACTCCAGCCTGGGCGACAGAGCGAGACTCCATCTTGAACAAAACAAAACAAAAACAAAAACAAAAAAGAATTAATCACCTGAAATCATTAGGTCTATCAGTTTTAGATTTAGATTTGAATTGAAATGTCACTTAAATTAGATACAATTTAAAAATCCATATCATGAACTTAGTTTGGAAAAATCTCATGACAATTAAACTTTCTAAATCTTCAAAAGAACTTCCAGTGTTAATAATGCTAGCATACCACAGGATGCCGCGTGAGCAAGTTATGTAGTGAAATTGTCTCATCTCAGCTTTGTTACTTGTGGATAAACTCACATGCCAGAGGGTGTGGTCAGGGCTGTGAATTACAGGTGAGGCCAAGTGACCTCCCACTGCTGGTGGTCACTGTGACTTGTCAGACTCCACCTGCCCATGCAGTCACCACTTTAGCCAAGGATGCCAAGGGCAGTGGTGCTTGGGTAGGCGGCCAGCTGGGAGTGGAGTGGGGGTCTGTGTAGAGACAGGAGGGGTGATGGGATCCAGGAATAAGAACCACGGGAACCTCTGGGCCAGACACAGTGCATTTTTTTTTCTTTTTCTTTTTTTTTGAGACAGAGACTCACTCTGTTGCCCAGGCTGGAGTGCAGAGGCGCTGTCTTGGCTCACTCTACCTCCCAGGTTCAAGTGATTTTCCTTCCTCAGCTTCGCGAGTAGCTAGGACCACAGGCACGTGCCACCATGCTTGGCTAATTTTTTGTATTTTTAAGAGAGACGGGGTTTCACCGTGTTAGCCAGTATGGTCTCGATCTCCTGACCTCGTGATCCCCCTGCCTCAGCCTCCGAAAGTGCTGGGATTACAGGCGTGAGCCACCGCGCCCGGCCAAGAGTGCACTTTTTAAGTAAAGAACTTGTAAGTAGAGTCTGAATCCTGTGGAATATGTCTTCATCCCACTATTCATTTCTTTGTTATTACAGACCAGCTGAGCTAGTGAGCAAGAAACACAAGCACTGAAGCTGGAAGCGTCCCCATCAATTTCTGTGGCTGCCAGCACAGAACCGCAGGAAGTAACACAGCATTGTCCTACTGATGCTCTCACCTGGGGTCTGCCCTCATGTCCAAGTGACACAGCTGCCCTTGGTGACCAGAAGCCACTCACCTGGTCCCTGCATGCCAGCTTGCAGTGAGGACATCTGTCCAGGCACGAGAGCCCACCTTCCATTTTGAGAATTACTGTCAGTACCTCAGTTAGATAAGCTAGGCTTCTGCAATCATACTGAAGTGTAACATCCATACAACAAATTGCACAAATCACAGCATGTAACCTGGTGAATTTTTACAAAGTGAATATGCCCCAAAAACCAACACCCAGTTCTAGAAATAGAACATTAGCAGCCCCTCAGAAGCCCCTCAGAAGGCTGCTTTCTCCTTTCCTGACACTAGCATTCCTTGACTTTATTCTGCTTTCTAGCACTGTAGGTTAATTTTACTTGTTTTTAAACTTTATGTAAGTGGGGTTGTAAATTATATGTTCTGTGCCTGTCTTCTTTTGCTGCAACATTAGGAGTCATCCACATTATTGTATCAGGCAACACTTTGTTCATTCCCATAACCTATGGTATTTAACTAGATAAATATGCTACACTTTACTTATCCATTGTACTTCTGGTGAATATTTGTGGCATTTCAAAATTTGGGATATTACAAATAATAAAGGAATAAGCATTTTTACATGTCTTTCGGTGGACATATGCAGGCTTTTCACACACTTTTTAAAAACTGTTTAATAAACACCCTGTTTTGCAAGAAGTTCACATGCCAATTCATGTAGAGTTGCTTGAGTCTGTAACAACTGAATAGAGGTTAATTGTATGATGTCTTGTAATATGTTTCCTTGTTGGTCATTTAGTCATGTGGCAGAAACCACTAGTTGTTTGCTAAAATTCATTCTCTGTTTCCTCTATGGTAATGGACCCTCCACATTTTAAGCTAGGCAGATGGCTGCCCAGAATAAAGACTACCAATAAAGGTGCAATCATGTTCCTAAGTTCTTAGTAACAGGATGTAGTAGAAATATGGCATGGCAGATTCCAAGATCTTTCCTAAAGGGACACACTTTGCTTTCCTATCTCCCTTCCTCATTGCTGTGTATAAACATATACTGCCATCTTCCACCTTGGGGTTGCGGCTCATACAGTGGCCACAAGACAGAAGGAACCTGGGCCCTGATAAAATCAAGTGTTATATTTACCTTAGACTGCCTATGCAGGTTTTGACAAGAGCTACAATGGTTTTTCTACCACTCATAACTGAAATAAATTATAATATATAAGATAGTTTCCAATTTTTGATATTGTACACTATATAGCAGTGAACATTGTGCAATATATCTTTTTTTTGGAAATGTATAATAGTTTACTGTTGTAATTCATTTATAACATGTGTTGGACAACTTAGCTAATATGTTAATTGATTTATACAATTCCTTTCAATTTTATCTAAAAATAGCAGACCAAAATTAAATTAAGAAACTTACATAAGATTCCATTTGAGCATACATAAGGCCATGATACTTTAATGTGAACCACCATTTCTTGGAAGAAAGAAGACATCCAAATGTCCAATTCAGAGAGAAAGTTCCTGGCCAGTCATCCAGTAGACTCTCTCCACTCTTCAGTGCGAAGGTGATGCTTATATTTTTACAAATCTCTACAAAGCTCACATACAACAAGACAGTACATCCTAGATTTGTGACTGATATGAGCATTTAAGGCTGTCATTTTCAAGTATAAAAGTTTAGTGTTCCATTACCCAATCTGTGCAGTAGACATAGCTATAAGCTCAAGTCACATGAATTAACAGAAGCCCACCAAAGACATTTAAAAAATTATAATTTAGGCAACAGCAAGTTTAAATGTAGGAAAGGCTAGAAAAAAATGTGTAGATGAGATTGTTTCTCTAAAATGCATTAGGTTGTTCACAATGAAGCTTTGTCTAACACCATTATCTGATGCATGGCATATGCAATAAGGCAGATCCACAGCAGACCAAACAAGGAAGCTGAATTAGGTAATAGAACTAGTAATTAAGATGGTTCACCTCTAACACAGTTCTGCAGCCTGTTCCCCCGAGAGAAAGATTAGAAAAGGCTCCAGTGTACCAAATAAGCTTCACAGAAGAACATGAAAATTTTTCTCCAACTTTTTTTTTTGAAGCAGAGCCTGTCACTTAGGGACCAACTGCTTGTAGATGAAATAAATCAACATTAATTACTTCTAGCCTAATGTAATATGGCTGGAGAAAATGGGTCTCCGGAAGCCGGTATTTTGTTTAACTTACATTCTAGGTGTGTATATAAGTTCTCGCTCTATAACTTCTGCTGTGGTCCCAACATCTATATCTGAAAGGTGGAAGCAGCTGCTCTGTTACAATTTTCATGTAACATGCTTGGATTCTAGGTCTTTCCTCTTTAACACAACTTAAAGTTTCTTGTGGTTTGGTCAGCATACACACTTCTCATTTCATTTGATGTACACAGCCAAAGTGGGAATTAAAAAAAAATTACCATCTAGTTCAGAGAGCTAAATTGAGTCCAGCATTATGGCAAAGTCTGACCCAAAATTTTAATTTGTAATTTTAGCATGTGTCTCATGCACTTTGGGGAGCGTCAAACTAAATCTACAATTGCCCGAAGCCTTGTTACAGTTTAATGCACATTAACTAAAATGTGTACATTTTTAGTGTTCATGATAAATGCAGTTATGACCTTATTACACTTTAGGCATTCTTTAAGAAAGCACATTAAGCTTTAATATAGAAATATTTAGGTTACACTTGTGCTCAAGTAATAATAAAACATTTGTTCTTTTTTGATCTCATACATTCTCTCCTCAGGTATGGCCCATCTCCTGTACGCTTGGAGCGACCTTTGGCTATGTGGCTGGCCTTGTTATTTCACCACTCTGGATATACTGGAATAGAAAGCAACTTACATACAAGAACAATTAACTGGAACAAAGGGAGATATTTCTTTGTGCAGATTCTGTAAGGGCTGTGCAGAAATGTGTATGGTCAAAGCCAAGCAGTTCCATTTACAGCTCTGTTTTTTACGTAGTTACATGATGTGATTGTAGCTTTTTAAACTATGAAACCCCTGAGAGATTGTACCTTCTAGTTGAAATAAAGTATTTATAGTAGATTGTGGCTTCAGATACTGCTTACTGCTTCTTAAACCTTTAAGGAACATTCTTAATAAACTTTATGGAATTCTGGGGACAGGTTTTGTTTTCTTTCAAGTTTTGAACTGCTTCATTACCTATAAAAGGTCTGGGTATAGCTGTAGCATTTCATTTGCTTTCTCAGAGAAATGGCCAGTTTCCTTGGCCACTGAAGATGTTTCTCACGTAATTAAACAACAGTTTATACATCTTGATCCTATTCTTTTTTTTTTTACAGTGTGTTTCTTTGGAGTTAAAATGGCTATGATAGCCTCATCAAAAACAGTCTTCAATCCCTTCTGGGTTAAAGCTGAACATTCCACATAGCAGCATGCTCCTATCTCTTTTGCTAGTTTCTGTCCTTGTTCCACACATATAGGTTTTTCTTTCATATCATTCAGTCTTGCTAAAGTTTTGGGGTCATCTCGGAGATCAATCTGAGTTCTTATTAATAAAAAGGGTACATTTGGTGCGTATTCCTTAAGTTCCGGTACCCACTCCTCTTTCACATTTTGAAATGAGGCTGGATTTACCACCGAGAAGCATATAAGGAAGACGTCGGTCACTGGGTAAGATAAAGGCCTCAGACAGTCATAGTCTTCCTGTCCGGCCGTGTCATAGAGTCCTAGGAGGTACTACTTGCCCCCCACAGTGACGCTGACTGCTTAGTGGTCGAAGACGGTGGGCACGTACTCCTCCGGGAAGGCTTCGTTGGCATAGCTCATGAGTGGGCACGTCTTGCCCACCGCCCCGTCGCCGACCACCACGCACTTGAGCATCAGCGCGCCAGGCCCGTGAGCCACGCTGCTGCCCGCCGGCCTCCGGGCATGGTCCCCCCGGAGCCCCCGCCCCGGTCCCCGGGCTCAGCCCCAGCCCGCCTGGGGAGTCCGCCGCCGTCGCCGCCGCTCTGCGCCGCAGGGCCGCCCCCCGACCGGCCCCATCCAGCGGCTCCCCTCGCCGGAGGGGAGGGGGCGGCGGGCCCGGGGCGCTGCCGCCGCGGCGGTCGCCGCCAGGATCCCCGCCCCGGCCCCGGTCGCTGCGCCTGCCCGCTGCCCCCGCCACTGGGCGCCCGCGCCCTCTCCCCGGCCTGGTCTCCCCAGGAGAGGATCCGCCGGATCATAAGCATCTTTTTTTTTTTTTTTTTTGTGGAGTTTCGCTCTTGTTGTCCAGGCTGGAGTGCAATGGCACAATCTCGGCTCACCGCAACCTCCGCCTCCTGGATTCAAGTGATTCTCCTGCCTCAGCCTCCCAAGTAGCTGGGATTGCAGGCATGCGCCGCCACGTCCAGCTAATTTTGTATTTTTAGTAGAGATGGCGTTTCTCCATGTTGATCAGGCTGGTCTCAAACTCCTGACCTCAGGTGATCCGCCCACCTCAGCCTCCCAAAGTGCTGGGATTACAGGCATAAGCCACTGTGCCCAGCCTATCTTTTATCTTTATATATGTCTGTTTTATAGAAAAAAAAATTCTACAGGTGGAATTGCTAGGTCAAAAACTAAGAACACTTTTGGCCAGACACGGTGGCTCACGCCTGTAATCCCAGCACTTTGGGAGGCCGAGGCAGGCAGATCACCTTGAGGTCAGGAGTTCGAGACCACCCTGGCAAACATGGTGAAACCGTCTCTACTAAAAATACAAAAATTAGCCAGGCGTCAGGGTGTGCGCCTATAATCCCAGCTACTGGGGAGGCTGAGGCAGGAGGATCGCTTGAACCCAGGAGGCGGAGGTTGTAGTGAGCCGAGATCGTGCCATTGCACTCCAGCCTGGACAACAAGAGTGAAACTCCATCTCAAACAAACAAAAAAACTAAGAACACTTTATAGATACAACCCAATGTTTGTTCCTCCAAAATTACATTAACACTGACATAAGTGACATTTCTGTCTTAAAGACACTGGGTGTCAAATTGTTAAACCTCTTATATGTAAAAGAGAAACCAACAAAACAAAACAAAAGAACCAATGATCAAACCCTAATTATCTGTTTCACATCTTTGTTGTGGGAAGAAAGTTGAGCAGCTTTTCATTTGAAGAGCCTACTCTTCTTTCTTTTTTTGTGACTTGTCTGTTGAAATGCTTTGCCATGGAATAGTAATTCCATTGCAGAAGCTTTTTATAATGATTTTAATCAATATTTATAATATAGCTTTTCCCTCAATTTTGTTTCGATTAGCTTTACATTTTTTGATACATAGTAGAGCAAATCTTTTCACATTCTTATCGAATATAAGGTATTCGTATACATTTTTCTTCCAAAAGAAATCTGAAGTCAAGCACTGACGTTCGAAGAAAAAAAAACAATAATTTGATTAAAATTGTATTAAACATATTTAATTTGGAGGAGGCTGAGATAATCAAGATATAAATAATGCTGGATATTCTCATCTAGTCAGATGATGTCTCTCCATTAACTAACTCTTGTAGTCCAAGTAACATTCTGTAGATTTATCTGCATAGGGAATGCTCACTTTTTCTAAGTGCATATCAAGATATTTTAGAGTTTTCAATGTGAATAGAAACTTTTTGCTTGTACAAATTCAATTTGATTCAGTTTGATTCATGAGAATTCTTTTGAGTTTCATTTTATCTTTTATCTGTCCTCTTAACTCATTGTTTTTATTAATTTTTAATTTCATTTTCTGAAAATTATATCAGTGGCTGTGTAATTGATGTTTCATTCTAATATGTATATTTCATTTTTCCTGTCATATTGCACTGGGAATAAAACCTGAACAGTACTGAATACTCTCAGTGAAAGTAGTCATGCTTTTTCTCTTACCAACAGAAATTCCTTTAGTAATTCATCAAGATGTTTAATGTAGAATTCTTTAAAAAATCAAAACCACAATGAGATACCATGTCATGTCAGTTAGAATGGTGATCATTAAAGAGTCAGAAAACAACAGATGTTGGAGAGGATGTGGAGAAGTAGGAACACTTTTACACTGTTGGTGAAGCTGTAAATTAGTTCAACCATTGTAGAACACAGTGTGGTGATTCCTCAAGGATCTAGATCAAGAAATACCATTTGACCCAGCAATCCCATTACTGGGATTATAAGGATTTACATTTCCAAAGGATTATAAATCATTTTACTATAAAGACACATGCACATGTTTGTTCATTGCAGCACTATTCACAGTAGCAAAGACTTGGAACCAACCCAAATGCTCATCAATGATAGACTGGATAAAGAAAATGTGGCACATATACACCATGGAATACTACACAGCCATTAAAAAGGATGAGTTCATGTCCTTTACAAGGACATGGATGAAGCTGGAAACCATCATTCTCAGCAAACTAACACAGGAACAGAAAACCAAATATTGCATGTTCTCACTCATAAGTGGGAGGTTAACAATGAGAACACATGGACACAGGGAGGGGAACATCACACACTGGGGCCTGTTGGGGGTGGGGGGCTAGGGGAGGGATAGCATTAGGAGAAATACCTAATGTAGATGATGGGTTGATGGATGCAGCAAACCACCATGGCACATGTATACCTATGTAACAAACCTGCACATTCTGCACATTTACCCCAGAACTTAAAGTATAATTTTTAAAAAATCAAATTAAGGTATTATAAAGCTTTTAGATGTTTGTCTCACTTCAATACTATTTTTCTTTAGTTTACCATGTAACCATCCAAAACTAAATCATCCCCCACCTCAGTTAGGCATCTTAGCATAAGTCCAGTTACTCAGAAGTCTCAGCTTTGCTTCCTCTTCCCCTACAACCCACTTTTAGAATGTAAGCAAGTCCTCTCCTGGTTTTCTTTTCTCCATTCCTACATCTTAGTTAAAGCTTTTACATCTTCACCATGCAGACCACAAAGACCACTAAAAATGAGACAGATAATAGACACAGGCTCCCATTTCTGGGTTCTGGGACCAAAGTTTAAATCAGAAGCACAGCATAATGCTATTAATTGGTAGTGTGTTTGGGCCTTATTGAAAGAGCCTACCTCAAGTGTTGAGACAGAAATTGAAAATAATCATACAGGAAAATACTGTAGAACTCAGTAGTCCAGAAAGCTCTATTACAGGCTGGGCACTGGCTTATGCCTGGCTCATGCCTGTAATCTCAGCACTTTGGGTGGCTGAGGCAGGTGAATCATCTGAGGTCAGGAGTTTGAGACCAGCCTGCCAACATGGTGAAACCCCATCTCTACTAAAAACCCCAAAATCAAGCCAGGCATGGTGGCGTGCACCTGTAATCCCAGTTACTCCAGAGGCTGAGGCAGGAGAATCATTTGAACCCAGGAGACGGAGGTTGCAATGAGCCGAGATAGCACCATTGTACTCAAGCCTAGTCGACAGAGGGAGACTCTGTCAACAAAGAAAGAAAGGAAGAAAGAAAGGAAGGAAGGAAGGAAAGGAAAGCTCTATTACAGAAAGCAATGTGAATTGGAATTGCTTTATGGTCATAAAGGAAATATTTTGGCCACTCTGAGGGATGTTCCAGGCAATAGTTTCAGTCTTACTCTAGCTATATAACCCTCTCAGGTCAGCAAAAAGGGTCAAAAAAACCAGCCAGTGTTCAGAATGAACATGCATTTGAGATTTGTGAGAAGGAGAACTCACATCTAAAGTCTAGAAGAACAGGTCCTAGGTGTTCTGGCCGTAATTCATTGGTTACTGATACCATATGATTGCAATGACATTCTATGTTGTAAGGGCAATGCTTGCTGCCAAGACACAAAACCTTGTACAAAGCTTTCTGGTTTTGGCCCCTCGTTTAACAAAGATATAATTCTGGTTATTTTCTTTCTTTTTTTTTTTTTTTTTTTTTTTTTCTTTTTATTCCTCCCAGAGCCTTGCCATTTCTTCCCCACCCCCCTCCGCCCCCGTCCCCCGCTCTTTTTTTTTTTTTTTTTTTTTTTTTTTAAGATGGAGTGTCGCTCTGTCACCAGGCTGGAGTGCAGTGGTGCGATCTCGGCTCAGGGCAACCTCTGACTCCCTAGTTCAAGCGATTCTCCTGCCTCAGCCTCCCGAGTAGCTGGGATTACAGGCACACGCCACCATGCCCAGCTAATTTTTGTATTTTTAGTAGAGACGGGGTTTCACCATGTTGGCCAGGATGGTCTCAATCTCCCGACCTCGGGATCTGTCCGCCTCGGCCTCGCAAAGTGCTGGGATTACAGGCGTGAGCCACTGTGCTCGGCAGCCATTTCTTCCTTTAATCTCCAGCTGTTTCACCCCAAGATGGTCAAGACAATTTTTTATTTTTATATTTTATTATTATTATTTTTGAGACGGAGTCTCGCTGTCGCCCAGGCTGGAGTGCAGAGGCGCGATCTCGGCTCACTGCAAGCTCCGCCTCCTGAGTTCACGCCATTCTCCTGCCTCAACCTCCGGAGTAGCTGGGACTACAGGCGCCCGCCACCGTGCCCAGCTAATTTTTTTGTATTTTTAGTAGAAACGGGGTTTCACCGTGTTAGCCAGGATGGTGTCGATCTCCTGACCTCGTGATCCGCCCGCCTCGGCCTCCCAAAGTGCTGGGATTACAGGCGTGAGCCACGGTGCCCGGCCAAGATTGCAAGAAGACAGGAAGTAACACTTTGTCCTCTAATTTATCTCATAGGTGAAACTTTCTTTCTTTTTTCTAAGAAGTACCACTAGAATATAATCCTAAAATTTAATGGTTGAGAGACTTAACTATAGAATTTGCTTTCTGTTGATGTTATAGGGGCTTCCTTCTAACTCAGATGAATTTACTCTGAAAATGGCAAATGGTTCCCCCACTTACCCGAGGATGGAAGAACAAGTTATAAGTTGCATTCACTTGCTGAAGATACCTTAAGTATTTAGAATTGCGATAATGTGCTGAACTCAAATAGTTGAAACAAGTAACTTCTGGGGCAGCAGGTACTTATGTCAGCAATTGGCTTATTCCTTGACGCCAATGTTTTGGCTTTGTTTGGTGAATTGGTGGTTGACTTGATCCTTACTTGCTATTCAGACTGCCTCTGATCTTTCTGAGAGCCAGAACAATCTGGATGGTTCATTTGACATTGGTCAGAAAGGTCCTTAATCTTTAAATACACCAGTTCAAGCACAGAGTCATAAGATGAGATGAGGAGATGAAAGGTGGCTCACTTTGGGAGGCTGAAGTGGGTGGACAGCTTGAGCCCAGGAGTTCGAGACCAGCCTGGGCAACATGGGGAAACCTCATCTCTATGAAAAACTACAAAAAATTAGCCAGACTTTGTGGTGCATGCCTGTATTCCCAGCTACCCAGGAGGCTGAGGTGGGAGGAACTGAGCCTGGAAGGCCGAGGCATCAGTGAGCTGTGGTTGCATCACTGCTCTACAGCCTGGGCAACAGAGTGAGACCCTGTCTCAAAAAAAAAAAAAAAAGACCAACAAAACAAAAAAAATTCAAATAGGCCCCTCCAAGGAGCAACCATTTGTCTACAAGGAGTAAGGAGACTTCTACATCTTGGCAGTACTTGAAGACGGTGGGAAATTATCACGTCACATTCTGTTACAGTTTGGGGGCTACTCCAAAAGAAATTTCTTAATGCAACACTTTCACAAGAAAAGATAATGTGCTACTAGTGCTACCATTGTATGAGTGAGAGAAGGGGAGTGATTAATGTGTTACAGCCTCTTCTCACTAGTATCTAAGAACATGAAATTCATGCAGCACACCCTTCCCTCTCCCAGCCACTTGGAATCAGTCCTTCACCATGTCCTTATTCACTTCACAAATTATCCATATGCATTGTGGTTACAACAGAAAGTGTAGATAAGAAAAGATACTTTACTGATGTCATAACTCATATAATTTCAAGTGTCTTACAGGGTCAAGTGTTCTTGTTCCAGTTATAATTGCTGCATAACAAACCACCCCAATCTCAGTGCCATACAATTGTATTAAAATAACAACATTTGTATTCCCAGATTTTATGGGTCAGGAGTTTAGTCTGGACACAGGGCAGACTGCTTATATGTCTGCTATGCCACATCTGGGGCATTTGCTTGGAAGACTCAAAGTTTAGGTGTGACAGCAGTTGGGAACAGGAATCACCTGTGTGTATCTTCATTCACATGCCTGGTAGTTGATGCTGATTATTGGCTGGGACCTCAGATGGACTACAGGCCAAACTGCCTCTGCACAGCCTCTGCACACGGGTTATTCTGTCCTCCTCACAGCATGTATAGCAGATGGGTTCTAAGAACAAATGTCCTAAGTAGGCAAGGCAGAAGTGCAAGGTGTTCTTACTATCGATCTTGGAGGGCACCATGGCATTACTTCCATTATACTCTATTGGTCAAAATAGTTACAAAATTCTGCCCAGCATGACACCACAGGTTTTTCTTTGGGGGCTCAGTATAAAAAGGCAGAACAGCCTCTGCCTGTTTATCTCTTATTCTTTTGCAGGAGTTTTGTGTTACATACAAATAAATATTTAGAGATATTGTCGTATTTCCCAGCTACCGAAGTCAACTGTGAAGAAGAGGCATTTACATCCCTCTATAGCAGTACCAAGAAGAGAGGTATCCTTGACTAAATAAGCAAGGCAAGATTACTCTTTCCAGACTCTGATTTCGGAGTTAGCAGATAGAACATCAGGCAGAAGTTCCTCTGTTGGTGTCACCTACAAAGCAACAAGCTTGAGAACTCTGTGTTCCAACTTGGGAGCTAGTCAGTCTCCCAGAGTGGGGGTATTTGGAGAGCAGGCTTGTGAAGAAGGCCAAGGAAACAGAAAGGACAGCTCTTAGGATACACTTTACTGAAGATATATCACTCAGACAAGATGCCCAGAAAGTTCAGGATTAACAAAGGTCTAGAGTCTTGTAACTCACTTCCTATGGAAGTTTATTGTGAACAACAACAGTAACAAAGCAGCCTCAATTCTCTAATCCTGCAGAGGGCTAAAGAACACCTATTACTCCCTGGAGCTTAATAGAGATGAAATCTTAGGATATAACTGCAGTATACATGCTTAGGATGACCAGGAAGATGGTTATAATTGTTATACCCTAGTTTAGGTGAAAACTACATGTAAGATATTGTGAGGTCCTTGAGTGGTTAGATGACTAAGGTATTAGTCATCCTGGAAGAAAATCTGGATCGATTAAATGTCAGATGAATTAGATGCACTAAAAATAAAAAGAGAAGCCAGAAAGTTGTCCTAGTAATAATCAGTCCATCCTTGCTTAGCACAGCTCCAGTATTACACAGATTTCAGTTACCACAGTTTAGTCCAATGACACCAGTCCCCCAACAACACAGTTCTGATATCAGTTGCTATGGTCTATTAACTATGAATAATTGGATAAAGGAGAAACTTCACTGCTAGACCTTCAACCCATAAATTGCTGCATGTATACCAGAGGCGCATTATGATCAGTGACCAATCATGTCACTTATTTCAATATCTATTGGTGATTGGTCACCACACATCTTTTTTTTTTTTTTTTTTTTTTTTTTTTGAGACGGAGTCTTGTGTCTCCCTCTGTCGCCAGGCTGGAGTGCAGTGGCGCAATCTCGGCTCACTGCAACCTCTGCCTCCTGGGTTCAAGTGATTCTCCTGCCTCAGCCTCCCAAGTAGCTGGGACTGCAGGCAGGTGCCACCATGCCCAGCTAATTTTTGTATTTTTAGTAGAGACAGAGTTTCACCATGTTGGCCAGGATGGTCTCGATCTCTTAACCTCGTGATCCGCCCACATCAGCCTCCCAAAGTGCTGGCATTACAGGTGTGAGCCACCGCACCCGGCCCCACATCTTTTATTCAATTCACACACTGGCAACAAACCATGCAGCTGTGTTTTTTCCTTTTCTTCCAGTGATAAACCTGCATAACATTTTCAATAATGGCTAATCAAAAGAGAAAACTGGCCAACAGTGAAGTGTCAGAAAGATAAAAGCACAGCAAATAAAAATAGAGAACTCTGAATGCTAGTTACTTTTATGCATCAACTTGGCTAAGGGATGTCCAGACAGCTGGTAAAACATTAGTTCTGGTGTGTCTGTGAGGGTGTTTGCAGAAGACATTACCATGTAAATGAGTAGACTGAGTAAAGATCAGATCACCCTCACCAATGTGGGCATCATCTGATAGAACAAGAAGGTGGAGGAAGGGCAAATGTACTCCCCCTGTTTGAGCTGGGATATCCATCTTCTCCAGCACTTGGACACTGGCACTGTGGTTTTCCAGCCTTGGACTTGGACTTTGGACTGAATTATTCCACTGGTTTTCTTGGTTCTCCAGAATGCAGATGGTGGAACTTCTCAGCCTCTCTAATTGTGTAAGCCAATTTCCATAATAAAATAAATCTTTATATATACTTATATAAATCTTTATAGATCTTATAAATCTTCATATATATAAGATGAAATAAATATTTATGCCTCTGTGTGTGCGTATACTGTTTTCTGGAGAACACTGACTAGTATACTCTGAAAGTGAAATTCAAATTGAGTGTAAATGGAGTTATGGAAGAAATAGCTATTGGAGGTAATTTGCCACTGTTTGAGGCATTCCAGAGGAACTTAGGGAAGGCAGACTTAACAACATAAATGAAAATAGATGTGTTCATTCATTTTAGGATAAAGATGTCCCAAGAAAGTGACATGGCAAAACAAAACAAAACAAACAAAACTCACATTAACGGAATTATCAGAGGTATTTCATGACATTGAAAGCACAAAGAATAAATAGTTGGAAGCTGATTCAAACTTAGACAGGAGAATGACAGTTTGTCAAGGTATAGCTCACTCTGCACTGTAAGTATACTACAAGAAGAGGAGGGCCAGCTTCATTCAAACTATACTCCATAAGATTTTTACAAAGAAATAAAATATTGATTCGTGTTTCTGATGTTTTAAATTACACTATACTAAATATTAGTTTTACTATTTTTGAAAATGTTCCTGTACATTTATAACCTACAATAGTTTTTAATGTTTTGACAACATATTTTTAAAAGTCACAGAACAGTCAGAACATTCCCCTTTGATGCACGAGATCGCGTTCCATTTTCTGTTTGCAGTCATTTCTGTGGTCCCTCATTAGCATGCAAAGCAGGGCCTCCCTCTATATCTGTTCTAGGAAGTGACTGTGGGAAGGGAAATGAAATGGTGTATGTGGAGTGAAGCAAAACTGCAAGGACCACGATTGAGTGGCTGTGAAGAATAAGGCTGGAGATGGTAATCACTGTGCCTAGCAGAGAGAAAGGTAAAAAAGCTCTGAATCTTTCAGATTGTGCTGATTTACCCATGATCTTTTAAAGACAGGTTAATCCTCACTGAGGATTTGCCTCTGATGACAAATGTCTTCTTTAGGAGATGTTAGTTCAGTGATGTTATTTCAGCATTCAGGCCAACAAAGGCAGTCAGAAGAGGAATGCATGCCAGGTGTCCTAGAGGTCAGTAAAAAAGAAGAACTTGGTCTAGGGGAAGAATTATGAATGAGAGACTGCAGCAGAGCTAGAAGATGGTGCCCAGCAGAAGAGAATTGGAACAGATAGATCCCTGCTCTTTTAGAGCTTCAACGATGAAGCCTATTGTTCTGTGGTTTGAGGAATGCTCATCATTCACCATAGCTGGTTAACATAATTTATTAAGTTGAATCAAGTACAAAAGGAAAAAGTTCTTTCTAATAGGCCAGATTCCATGAGTGGAAATTCCTTGGAGTCAAACAGGGAGAAAATACGTCTCAGTGTTAAAGACTTTCCAGAGACTTCTTCCATTCCACTTTCCACCCCTCCTTAAATCACTCGCCAAAGAAATGCTTTGCTGGACACTAAAGTGGCCACAAATGTGTTCATAAGAAAACATCAGAATATAAAATTAATCATTGTCTCTTTTAGTTAACTTTTTTGGAGTGTGTGTGCAGGGTTAAAGGACAGATGCTATTAAGATGATAAACATCAGCCAGGTGCGGTGGCTCACGCCTGTAATCCCAGCACTTTGGGAGGCCGAGGCGGAGGCATCACCTGATGTTGGGAGTTCGAGACCAATCTGACCAACATGGAGAAACCCCGTCTCTACTAAAAATACAATATTAGCCGGGCGTGGTGGCACATGCCTGTAATCCCAGCTACTCCAGAGGCTGAGGCAGGAGAATTGCTTGAACCAAGGAGGCAGAGGTTGTGGTGAGCCAAGATCGCGCCATTGCACTCCAGCCTGGACAACAAGAGCAAAACCCCATCTCAAAAAAAAAAAAAAAAAAAAAAAAAAAAAGATGATAAACATCACTGAAAAGTTTGGAAGTACTACCAGTTTCTATGACCAAGAGCTTTCCAAACAGCTGTAATTATTTGAAGGTCAATGAACTAAAAATGTCCATGTATCAGCTTTAGGCAAAAAGGTCATTAATGCTTTAGGGGACTGTAATAAGTCTGGAAGAGGCTAACTTGACTCTCACCTTCTGCAGTTCTCTATCAGATCACCCTGAGATCCTCTTCAACTGCCAGGCTCCTGGAAGGTCAGAGTCAAGCCAGTGACTGACTCCCTGACCAGCCACACAGAGCCTAAAGTTACAACCTACCTGGATTGGCAAGGTCTTCTACAACTTATGTAGCCCCCCATCCTTGGATGAGGTTGCCACCCACCCAATTCCCACCCAAAAGATCAGTCTTCTATGCTAGCTATGAAAAAAGAGAGGCAATGACAGTATTTTATTCCATTAGTGTTTGAAAAAAGTCTGCAACTTCTATGCAGGTATCTCAAAGCATCTAGGATTCCAGGGATGGACAGAAAGTCCTTCAATCACAACAGAATTCCTGTTTTGCTCTTTAAAAAAGGAGAGAGGACAGGCTGACGGATGCTGTGGGTGCATAGACTCACATGTTGTCCATGAAGTGGGGACTGTCCTCTAATTCTAAAGGAATAGCTTTGGTGACCGTTTTGCCATTGGTGCCATCTCTCAGGAAACTGATAATAAACTACAATGTTTTAAACTTGTACTATATCCAAGAGATATGTAGATATATAAAATATTTTGTTATTTAAATTCCACAAGCGTACAATGTAGGTATTATTTTCATTGCACAAATATGATAAATGAGACAATAATTTTCTCAAAGACACCCAGTTAAGCTGCCTGACTGCAAAGAGTTTCAGGCAATAAGATTTAGATTCCTTTAGTTCATCATCTTCTAAAGATGATGCTTTAATCATTGTTTAGCTGGTTACTGATCATACTCTTCTTAAAGCCCTTCCCCATGGGATTTGAAAAATCTGCTTCTAAGCATATCTGAAAGTTTTTTTAATTTTCAATTTTTTTTAGAGATGGGGTCTCACTATGTTGCCCGGGCTGGAGTGCCACGGCCATTCACAGGAGTGATCATAGTGCACTATAGCGTCAAACTCCTCAACTCAAGAGATCCTCCCGCCTCAGCCTCCTGAGTACAGGCTACAGGCATGTGCCACCATGCCCAGCCATAGCTTGAGGTTTTCACCTACAATAACTGAAGTTCCTACCTTGCCACTTCAGACCATCTACTAAGAAGTCATAGATATTACTTCAGGGAAAAAAATGCCTGGCTGCAAATAATTCCCTTTAACGGACTTGAAGATAGTTCTGTTAGTGTCTTCCAAGCATAGTTTTCAACTCAGATCCAGTGCTCATGCAATACTCCTTATCTACTGTGTCTTTGTTTCCAATAGCAATAACACATGAACTTAATAAATATGCTGTCTTTTTAAGAATTTACGGTCGGGTGTGGTGGCTCAAGCCTATACTCCCAGCACTTTGGGAGGCCAAGGTCTGTGGATCACAAGGTCAGAAGATGGAGACGATCCTGGCCAACACGGTGAAACCCCGACTCTACTAAAAATTAGCCGGGTATGGTGGTGGGCACCTGTAGTCCCAGCTACTCAGGAAGCTGAGGCAGGAGAATCGCTTGAACCCGGGAGGCGGAGCTTGCAGTGAGCCGAGATCGTGCCACTGCACTCCAGCCTGGGTGACAGGGCGAGACTCTGTCTCAAAAAAAAAAAAAAAAAAAAAGAATTTACATTGGTGTATGAATACAAAGACTGAAAAAATGTATTAGAAAGATTTATTATTTAAGAGATTCATTATGAAAGAGTTTAAATATGAAAGAAATTCATCAAAGGGTTTGTATATTTCAAGAAGAAAGTATGACATCATCTAAATACATATTGCTGGGTTAAATATTCTTTCCACCATAAGAGAAAAATCTATTCTCTTTTGTCCTAGTGTAAAACTCAGGACTTCTGCAGCTGCCCTTGTCTCTGAAATCTTCAACTTGCAGAGTTCTAAACACACACCCTACCTCACACCCCACGCAGTTACTCTGCGTCCACACAGCTGAGCTCTGTGTGTTTTAACAGTCATAGGATTTAATTACCACATCTTGTTCTGAAAGCTGAGATTTATAATTTCAATAAAGATTTCAACAGAAAGATGGTAAATAACTCAGAGGAACTTATTTATTTATTTATTTATTTTTGAGACACAGTCTGGCTTTGTCGCCCAGGCTGAAGTGCTGTGGCATGATCCCGGCTCACTGCAACCTCCACCTCCCGGGTTCAAGCGATTCTCCTGCCTCAGCCTCCCGAGTAGCTGGGATTATAGGTGTGCACAACCACACCCAGCTAAATTTTGTATTTTTAGTAGAGACGGGGTTTCATTATGTTGGCCAGGCTGGTCTCAAACTCCTGACCTCATGATCCACCCACCTCAGCCTCCCAAAGTGTTGGGATTACAGGTGTAAGCCACCACGCCCGGCCCTTCATAACAATGTATTATCTCTGAAATTCCCTTTCACAACAGTGACCTTGATTTGAAATTTTAAAAAAATCAGGCAAATCTATTAAGATATAATAAATAGAGAGTGGCTAAGAAACTCTGAAAACAGATATCAAGGACCTCAACTTCTAATGTTTATTTTTAATCATTTTAACAAATAAGCAAACTTTACAAGATTAGTGAGGTTCTGGTGTAAGAGATGTTTTCATAGTCCCTGAATGAGCCTCACCAGGCTTCCCACTAAAATGTGGCAGGGATGAGAGTGCACCTCACCACTGCAGAGCCCAGAATGGAGGCTCCCCTAGTTTCAGAACTTGGGAACAGTTTCCACCACTTGGCCTATCAAACACTCAGACTCAATGAAGAAACCCAATTGGTGGCTCAGACCTAGAAATGGAGTAAATCTGTTGGCCTGAATAAAAGGTCAAAAACATTTTGTACATGTCTGCAGAAAACTGGACTTTTCATCTATTGCAGGCATTGTTTTTACAGGCAAACAGAATGAGGTCTTCTATCTCTTTCTGTTTCCCCAGACACCTCCCCAAATCCTAAGTCCTCTCTCATACATTATATGTTCTATTTTTCACCCCTCTGTAACAGTCTAAAAAAGGATAACTGTGGAAGTAAGATAATGCCTATTAGGGAACATCTGGAAAATCAGAAAACTACAAAAAAGAAATAATCACCAGAGACACCTGATGTTCCTATTTCAGCCACTTCACTGCTCGGGCTGTTCAGCAGCCCTTGCGCTGCCTGCCAGTTCTGGTCTCCTTGCTTGCCCATCCTCCTAGACGACCGTTCCGTATTCTTCTCTTATTCAAACCTCAACATTTCCTCTCTGCTTCTCACTCTCACCTGAAGGCTTCAATTTTGATACAGGAGAAATCAGAATGGATCATTCTACAAAATGCAGCAGGCACAGACATCTGTCTCCATGCACTCGGCTTTCCCTGGCTTCTAGGGCCAACCCCCCACTTTGTACTGGATCCTGTTCCCCACTCCTCCTAAAGGACTTTGCTCCTGGAATTATTTCCATTCCTGCCTCATTAGTTTTTTCTTCTTTTTTAATGAGTCATTGCCAAGAAAAATGATGTACCGTAACATCTTGAATTGCAACTTCTAAAAACTTCCCATTTTCCTGATTCCTCAGTATCTCTACAAACAAGCTGTGGGCACCTTTCCCAGATGACCAGGTACACCAATGTGACAAGGCTGGTCCCTGTCACAAGTCCCCCTTCTTACTCTCCCCTGACCATGGCCTAGTGACATTTAAGCACACCCATGATATCCCCTCCTGCCTTTGCTGGTGAACCCCACCCTGATGCCCAATAAGGGTAACTGTCCACAGGAACCTGTTTGCCCTTGGCTCCCCACCTGCTTGGCTGAGCCCGCTTTGTTGGTGCTCTGCCCAGGTGATCCCCACAAGGTATGTCGTGCCTCCCTCTTTGGAACCTGTGAGTACAGTAAATCCTTTATTCATATGCCTTCCCAAAGTCATCTCCACAGCCTATTGGAATGTTCCTTAAGGACTCCACAAGGGGTACTTAATCCCTCATTTATAACACATACCTCCATCTTAAAAAAGCCCTCTCTTGAACCTGTATCTTTCTCAGCTACTACCCAATTTTAAGCTTCCCATTTCCAAGAAAAGTGACTGCAAGAGTTGTTCACATTCGCTCGGCGCCGCCCGCCCGGCCTCCCGAGAGGCTTTGGGGACTAGACCTTGGACGCGGATCCTTCCAGCGCTGCGCCCCGGGTCTGCATCCTCCTCCTCCGGGAAGCCCCGCCCCCAGGCCTAGCCCTCCTCCTCCTCTGGGAACCTCCCCCCTCAGGCCTAGCCCTCCTCCTCCTCCGGGAAGCCCCCCTAAGCCTCGCCTTCCTCCTCCGGGAAGCCCCCCAGGCCTTGCCCTCGTCCTCTGAGAAGCCCCACCTAGGCCTCGCCTTCCTCCTCCTCCAGGAAGCCCCCCCAGGCCTCGCCCTCCTCCTCCTCCGAGAAGCCCCCCAGGCCTCGCCCTCCTCCTCTCCCGGGAAGCCCCCTAAGCCTCGCCCTCCTCCTCCTCCGAGAAACCCCTAGGCCTCGCCCTCCTCCTCCCCCAGAAGCCATCCCCGCTCCCCCGACCCCCTAACTTGCTCTCCTCTGGGAAGCCACGGGGCCCCGGTGCACCAAGAGGCCGAATGGGACCCTGAGGGCACTCTGGCCGCGTCCGGCTCACGCGCCCCCTTCAGCGCCAGGTCTGGGGGATCCGCGCCTGCGCCCCGGGGCGACCCTGTCGCGGGGTCTGGCTGTCCAGGCCCGGGGGCCCGGGTGTCAGGCTGGTAGCAGGAAGGAAGGCGCTGGCCTCCCCACCGCATTCGCCCCATGCGGCGTCCCCGGGAAAGGCCGCAGAAGAGGCGCCGTCGGCACCCAAAGGGCCATGGACGGGGAGCGCCCTGCGTGGTGTTCGTGGCGCTGGCCTGGTCTCTGCGGATCAGAGGCGAAGCCAGCCTGGCTCTCGGGTCGCCCGTCTTCTGTCGAGCTGGCAACATCAGTGCGGTTCCCACCGCCATTTGCGCTTTCTCCTGGACCCTCTGCTTTTTATTGTTGATTTGTGGGAGCTCTTTGCATAGGGGCCCCGCCGTCGCAGCCTGGCGTTCTCGCAGGCGCATGCCCTCGGAACGCCGGGTGGGCTGCGGGCGCGACGGGACTCCTGGTCTCTCTTCCCCAGGACGGACACCGGCGTCGCCGCGTCCTACGAAGCCGGGCGCCGAGCGGGAGGCGCATCTGGGCCCCACCGGGGCTGCCCGCACCGAGCACGCGAACGCGCCCTCCCGCCCGGAGGCCGCGGGCGCTGCGGTCGGAGAACCGTAGAGCCACTCGGCTGGGCGTGGCGCGGCGGGGCGGGTAACGGGGCGGGACCTGGGCGACGGAAGTGCGTAGCCGCGCGGCATTCTGGGGCCGGAAGTGGGGCGCCAGCTGCGGGCTGGTGTCATGGCAGGTGGGCGGCGCCGCAGGAGGCGCCTGGCGGAGCTGACGGTGGACGAGTTCCTAGCTTCGGGCTTTGACTCTAAGTCCGAATACTCTCCAGAAGCGGAGACGCGGGAGGCACGCGAGGCTGCCCGGAGTCCGGATGAGCCGGGCGGGAGCCCCTCGGCCAGCCGGCGTAAAGGCCGTGCCTCTGAGCACAAAGATCAGCTCTCTCGGCTGAAGGACAGAGACGCCGAGTTCTACAAGTTCCTGCAGGAGAATGACCAGAGCCAGCTAAACTTCAGCGACTCGGACAGCTCTGAGGAGGAAGAGGAGCCGTTCCACTCCCTGCCATATGTGCTGGAGGAAGCCAGTGAGGATGAGGATGGAGCAGAGGAGGGGGAAGATGGGGACAGAGTCCCCAGAGGGCTGAAGGGGAAGAAGAATTGTGTTCCTGTGACCCTCGCCATGGTTGAGAGATGGAAGCAGGCAGCAAAGCAACGCCTCACTCCAAAGCTGTTCCATGAAGTGGTACAGGCGTTCCGAGCAGCTGTGGCCACCACCCAAGGGGACCAGGAAAGTGCTGAGGCCAACAAATTCCAGGTCACGGACAGTGCTGTGTTCAATGCTCTGGTCGTGTTCAATGCTCTGGTCACCTTCTGCATCAGAGACCTTACTGGCTGTCTCCAGAAGCTGCTGATTGGAAAGGTGGCAAAGGACAGCAGCAGGATGCTGCAGCCGTCCAGCAGCCTGCTCTGGGGGAAGCTCCGTGTGGACATCAAGGCGTACCTGGGCTCGGTCATACAGCTGGTGTCCTGTGTGGCAGAGACAGTGGTGTTGGCGGCCGTGCTATGGCACATCAGCGTGCTGGTGCCCTGCTTCCTGACCTTCCCCAAGCAGTGCTCAAGAGAATGGTGGTCGTATGGAGCACAGGGAAGGAGTCCCTGCGGGTGCTGGCTTTCCTGGTCCTCAGCAGAGTCTGCCGGCACAAGAAGGACACTTTCCTTGGCCCCATCCTCAAGCAAATGTACATCATGTATGTGAGGAACTGCAAGTTCACCTCGCCTGGTGCCCTCCCCTTCATCAGTTCCATGCAGCGGACCCTGACGGAGCTGCTGGCCTTGGAGCCGGGTGTGGCCTACCAGCACGCCTTCCTCTACATCCGCCAGCTCGCCATACACCTGCACAACGCCATGACCACCCGCAAGAAGGAAACGTCTGTGTACAACTGGCAGTACATGCACTGCCTCTTCCTGTGGTGCCGGGTCCTGAGCACTGTGGGCCCCAGCGAAGCCCTCCAGCCCTTGGTCTACTCCCTTGCCCAGGTCATCATTGGCTGTATCAAGCTCATCCCCACTGCCCGCTTCTACCCACTGCGAATGCACTGCATCCGTGCCCTGACGCTGCTCTCGGGGAGCTCGGGGGCCTTCATCCCAGTGCTGCCTTTCATCCTGGAGATGTTCCAGCAGGTCGACTTCAGCAGGAAGCCGGGGCGCATGAGCTCCAAGCCCATCAACTTCTCCGTGATCCTGAAGCTGTCCAATGTCAACCTGCAGGAGAAGGCGTACCAGGACGGCCTGGTGGAGCAGCTGTACGACCTCACCCTGGAGTACCTGCACAGCCAGGCACACTGCATCGGCTTCCCGGAGCTGGCGCTGCCTGTGGTCCTGCAGCTGAAGTTGTTCCTCCGGGAGCGCAAGGTGGCCAACTACTGCCGGCAGGTGCAGCAGCTGCTGGGGAAGGTTCAGGAGAACTCGGAACACATCTGCAGCCGCCGCCAGAGGGTTTCCTTTGGTGTCTCTGCAGGCAGTGGAAGCCTGGCAGAAGCTGACCCTGGAAGAGGGGACCCCCCTGACCTTGTACTACAGCCACTGGCGCAAGCTGCATGACCGGGAGATCCAGCTGGAGATCAGTGGCAAAGAGCGGCTGGAAGACCTGAACTTCCCTGAGATCAAACGAAGGAAGGTGGCTGACAGGAAGGATGAGGACAGGAAGCAATTTAAAGACCTCTTTGACCTGAACAGCTGTGAAGAGGACGACACCGAGGGATTCTTGGAAAGAGGGATACTGGGGCCCCTGAGCACTCGGCATGGGGTGGAAGAGGATAAAGAGGACAAGGAGGAGGGCGAGGAGGACAGCAGCAACTTGGAGGATGGAGACCCAGACGCAGAGGCGGGGCTGGCCCCTGGGGAGCTGCAGCGGCTGGCCCAGGGGCCGGAGGATGAGCTGGAGGATCTGCAGCTCTCAGAGGAGGACTGAGGCAGCCCATCTGGGGGGCCTGTAGGGGCTGCCGGGCTGGTGGCCAGTGTTTCCACCTCTCAGGCCTAGAGGCTGGCGTCTGTGCAGTTGGGGGAGGCAGTAGACAGGGGACAGGCTTTAATATTTATTTTTCAGCATGAACGACCAAACTTACCGAGAGCTAGGCTGGGCTGGCGTGGCTGCTGAAGCCCCACAGTTGTGGGCTGTTGAAGTCAGCTCCGCGGGGGAGCTGACCTTGACGTCAGCTGACGGAGACCAGTCCCAGTTCCAGGGGGAGGCCTGCAGGTCCCTGGCCCCTTCCACCACCTCTGCCCTCCGTCTGCAGACCTTGTCCGTCCGCACCAGGCTCTGCATTCACTCCCCCAAGTCTTTGGAAATTTGTTCCTTTCCTTTCAAGTCACATTTTCCTTTAAACTTTTTTGTTTTGCGTCTAAAACTGAAAGAAAGAAAGCTGTGGGAGGCAGGGCCATTGTAAAAAAAAAAAAAAAAAAAAGAGTTGTTCACATTCAACATTTTTTCTTTTCTTCTCTCTTCAACCCACTCCAGCATGGGCAACAAGCACACCCAAGTTGCTAAATCCAATGGTTGATGTTCAGTCCTGAGGTAATTTGACCTTGCAGCATCTTTTTGAGTCTGTGGGTCATGCTGTCCATGTCACACAATTTACTCCCTTGGCTTTTATGACCTCCTCACACTTGCTTGGTTTTCGGTCTACTTCATTGGCTCTTTCTTTGGCTGGATCTTTATGTTCCCAACTAGAACCCGTTGCATAATTTGCAGGGTGCAGTGCAGAATGAAAATGCAGGGCTCTTATTCAAAAATTATTAAAAGTTTCAAGATAGTGAGAGCAGAGCACTCAACAAAGCATGGGGCCCTTCTGAGCAAGAGGTCTTGCGTGATTGCAAAGATCTTGTGCCCATGAAGCCCTGTTCCCATCCTCAGAATGCAGCAAAGCACCTGCTCAGTGCTCATCTATAAATGATCTTGTCCAACCCAATTGGCTTTAGATGCCACATTCAGCAACAAGCTTCACATCTTACCTTCAACACCAATCTCTCCATTTTACTTCAGATTCAAATATTCAACTATCTATTCTCCATGTGCACTGAATATATGAAATGCACTCAAACTTAATATGTCCAAAATGGAACTTTCATTTCCCACCCAAATTCTTCCCATAGTTTTCCCCATGTCAATAAATACCAACTCCATTTTTCCAGTTATTCAGGCCAAAATCATTATAGCCATCCTGAACTTCGCACTTTTCTCTCACATTCTACATTCAATCCACCAAATCCTGCAAGCTCTACCTTCAAAATATTTCCTAAATCCGACCAGTCACGACCTTCACCACTTGCAACCCCGGTACAACTTTCTGTCCTGAGTCACCTAGTCTTCTAGTGTCATAGGCCTCTTGGCTTTCACTTCTGCCCTTCACAGTCTATTTGCCACACAGCCATCAGTTATCTTTTTAAAATGTAAGTCATAGTTTGTCACTTTCAAATCGCAAAGTTGAAACCTTTGAATGCCTTCCAACCTCACTCATAATTTTTTGTTAAGTCTTCAAAATATGGCCTAAAAAACTCTATGTAGCCAGCTTCTGGCTACCTCTCCACCCTCAGCTCCTATCACTACCCCCTCAGTCACTTCATCAGCCACATTGGCTTTCTTGCTGCTCCTCACTTTCCTTTGCACTGTGGTTTTCTCTGTCTGGAACACTCTTCACTCAGATATTTAAATGACTCGCTTTCTCAATTCAATCAGACTTCAATTTACAGGGCACCTCCTCAGAAAGCCTTCTGTACTGAACATAAATCTCAGCTTCCCTTGACTGTTTCCTTTGTTTAAAAGGTGGCACCCCTCTCCTGAACGAGGACCATGCCACACCACTGCCATCTTTGTTGAGTCCCCAGAACTGTCAGTAATCTGCAAAAGTCCCATTAGTTCCAAGTCTCCACTCACTTCTGATGAAATGTCCCATAACAGAGAATGCGATCTGCCTTCCTGGTCCACCGTCTAAAAGCCCAACAATGTTTTCCTAAAGAACAGGGCATTCGCTCTTCATGAGCAATAGAAAACAGGAGCCACAAAGAGCCAAGCAGCAAAGGGCAGAGAATAGATCTAGATAGATGATGAAGAATAACCAGTATACACTCTCTGTCCTCTTAATCTGTTTTGTTGCAGACTGATGTTTTACTCTATGTCTATGCATATGCACATATGCATGTACGTATACATGCGTGCAACTTGATGGCAAAGATCCCATCTTGTATGTTCCTTGTCATATCACCAGCTCCTACGGCAGTAACTGTCACATAGTAAATATTCAGCAAATATTCTTTTGAGAGAACGAATGAAGATGCAATACTATTAAATACATTCACAATTTCTCACCTTGTTCTTTTCACTCAACACAATCACTTTGGGTTGTTTTTTGGTGTGTGTGACAAGTATTCTTCTAAAAGAAATTATGATTTCTTTAAGGAATCTAGTCTAAATACACATGAAAGGAAAGGGACTACTGAACTAAATTATTTCAGCAAGACATTTAGAGAGTATTAGTGATTTTATAATAAATAATGCTATCATGTGATTTAAGTGTTCAAAGAAAAAAGTGGATGCTTTTCCTATTTGTAGTTCAAAAAAAAGATTTCATCAATCACAACGTGAGTCAAACCCAAGGATGATTATCGATGACTAGAACTATTAGAAAAAGCATTCGACAGGTAGGCAGTAAAGAAGGGTGGGAAGTTCAGAGTAATCACATAAACAAAGAAAGGAACTATCTAGAAGGCAGACCCATCAGGGGAGGGAAATTTCAAGGGAAGAAGACTGGACCCTGTTACCTGGGAAATAAGTAAGGCCACAGCACGGGGAGAAAAAAAGACTTGATACTTTTCAGAGAACAAAAAATCTGTCTTTGTTAATGCAAATGCATGTAATGCACAGTAGTTTGAGAGGTGCTAATGGGTTTTTTTATTGCTTTTCTTTGTCAATTACAAATTGCTCATTCCTGAAGATGAAACTAAAATGAGCCATTGAGTAAATTACTTCCAAAACAAGCTGGTGGAAAACGTGTAAACCTGTAAGTGAGTAATATTAAATCCTTACATGTTTTATAGGCATTTAGACTCCAGGCACACGCAATGTTTTATACCGATAATGACTATACATTTTTTAACTTATTACATAAAATTATATATGTTATAGTCCAGGCACAGTGGCTCACGCTTCTAGTCCCAGCACTTTAGGAGGTCAAGGCAGGAGGATCACTTAAGGCTGTGAGTTTGAGATCAGCCTTGGCAACATAGCAAGACCCTATCTCTACAACAAATAAATAAATAAATTAGCCAGGAGTGGTGGTACACACCTGTAGTCCCAGCTACTTGGGAGGCTGAGATAAGAGGAACACTTGAGCCCAGGACTTCAAGGTTGCAGTTAGCTATAATCGTGCCATTGTACTCTAGCCTAGGTGACAGGGCAAGATCCTGTCTCTTAAAAAAAAAAAAAAAAGTACTGGTAGGGCACAATGGCTCAAGCCTGTAATCCAATCACTTTGGGAGACCTCATGATCTCTTGATCTCTTCAACATGGTGAAACCCCGTCTCAACTAAAAATATAAAAATTAGCTAGGCATGGTGACACACACCTGTAGTCCCAGCTACTTGGGAGGCTGAGGCAGGAGAATCGCTTGAACCTGGGAGGTGGAGGTTGCAGTGAGCCGAGATCACACCGTTGCACTCCAGCCTGGCGACAGAGTGAGACTCCGTCTCAAAAAAAACAACAAAAAAAAGGCATTATTGAAAGTTTAGAACATAGCAATAAACAAAAGAAGAAAATATAAATCAAAACAAAAACAGCCACTGTAAATGTTTTAGTTTATAATATTTCAGATTTTTTCTACTAAGTAAATATATGATTATGAAAAGTTGTACTCATTACTGCTTAATATCCTGTTTTGTTGTTCATGAAATAATTTTTCATGAATATTTAACAGTGTAATTATATTATTGTCTCTTTTAAGCCAATACTATAACATAAATAACACATTATTAAAAATTAATCCATCACTGCAGTTTAAAAGTTAAAGAAAAAAAAACAAAATTCAACTTGGTCATAGCATATTAGTATTTTAATTTGAGACTGGATGAGTTTGCTAATATTTTACTCATAATGTAATTGTAGGTTTCTTATTGTGGGATATTTGTCAGGTTTTTATTTCAAGGCTAAGCTAATTTATAAAATAAACTAGGATATTATACATTATACATAAATTAGGATATTATACATTATACATAAATTAGGATTGTTTTCTATGCTTTAAAACAATGTTTTTCAAATTATCTGTGTGAAATCCTTTTTTGCAGTTTCCCATCCATTATGTACTGCTATTATGGTTAAAACAAAACAAAAAGAAATTAGTAGAAAATTAAAATAGTAAGCCACAAACAATCAAAATAAAAGTTTAATTTCTTTATGATTACATTCAATAGACACTAAATTTCTCTACCAAATTGCTGTAAAAGTCTCTAAATGCTGACTGTCATTGCCATATTTATCATGAACTTGTAACAAATAGTTCATGACCACCAGAAGCCCATGGACCACATTTTGAATAGTGCTGCTTGAAAGAAGACGCTTAATATGTTTAATGATACACATTTATCAGCAAAAAAATGCTGTTGAAATATTACCACAATATGTGAATTTTCATTTATTTACAAATCATATCTCTAATTAAAATTATTTTAATAATATTCTGGATGCTTAGATTTTAAGTGCTCAGCATCCTAAAGACCTCATCTTTTTTTTTTTTTTTTTTTGAGATGGAGTCTCATGTCTCGCTCTGTCACCCAGGCTGGAGTGCAGTGGCCTGATCTCCGCTCACTGCAAGCTCCGCCTCCCGGGTTCATGCCATTCTCCCGCCTCAGCCTCCCAAGTAGCTGGGACTACAGGTGCCTTCCACCATGCCCGGCTAATTTTTTGTATTTTCAGTAGAGACGGGGTTTCACCATGTTAGCCAGGATGGTCTCGATCTCCTGACCTTCTGATCCGCCCGCTTCAGCATCCCAAAGTGCTGGGATTACAGGCCTGAGCCACCGCGCCCGGCCGACCTCATCCTTTTATCAGTTAATTCGCAGGTACAATATCCAATTAAGATAAGATTTGCTATTGCTGATACTGTGTATGGATCTCTATTTTCCAGTAACATTTCTGATCACTTAAAATTACTGAGCCAATGCTTTTCATATCTGATTAGATCATCCTTGTGTTTGACTCATAATGTGATTGATGAAATCTTTTCCTTGAACTACAGATAGCAAAAGCATCATCTAGTAGTGCTCTGTCTTCAATCTGTGGCTTCTCTTCAGGAATATAATCATGCCACTTGTTCATTTTGTGAGGATTCCTTTCGTGACAACTATATGGTATAACCCACATAATTGGAAATTGCCATGCAGTGTTTAAAGAGCAAACACACTGGTGAGGGGACCAGGTGCCACCTACACTTTCTTTCAAGAATATCTGTTGGAGGCAACCTACAGAATGGGAGAAAATTTTTGCAATCTACTCATCTGACAAAGGGCTAATATCCAGAATCTACAATGAACTCAAACAAATTTACAAGAAAAAAACAGCCCCATCAAAAAGTGGGTGAAGGATATGAACAGACACTTCTCAAAAGAAGACATTTATGCAGCCAAAAGACACATGAAAAAATGCTCACCATCACTGGCCATCAGAGAAATGCAAATCAAAACCACAATGAGATACCATCTCACACCAGTTAGAATGGCGATCGTTAAAAACTCAGGAAACAACAGGTGCTGGAGAGGATGTGGAGAAATAGGAACACTTTTACACTGTTGGTGGGACTGTAAACTAGTTCAACCATTAGTGGAAGTCAGTGTGGCGATTCCTCAGGGATCTAGAACTAGAAATACCATTTGACCCAGCCATCCCATTACTGGGTATATACCCAAAGGATTATAAATCATGCTGCTATAAAGACACATGCACACATATGTTTATTGTGGCACTATTCACAATAGCAAAGACTTGGAACCAACCCAAATGTCCAACAATGATAGACTGGATTAAGAAAATGTGGCACATATACACCATGGAATACTATGCAGCCATAAAAAATGATGAGTTGATGTCCTTTGTAGGGACAGGGATGAAGCTGGAAACCATCATTCTCAGTAAACTATTGCAAGGTCAAAAAACCAAACACCTCATGTTCTCACTCATAGGTGGGAATTGAACAATGAGAACACATGGACACAGGAAGGGGAACTCACACACCGGGGCCTGTTGTGGGGTGGGGGGAGGGGGTTGGGATAGCATTAGGAGATATATCTAATGTTAAATGATGAGTTAATGGGTGCAGCACACCAACATGGCACATGTATACATATATAACTAACCTGCACATTGTGCACATGTACCCTAAAACTTAAAGTATAATAAAAAAAAAAGAATATCTGTTGGACCATGCGTGTGAATTGGCCATTTGACATAAGAACTCAGAGAGGGGGCCAGCTCAAGTAGTTAAATGCTATTAAAGTGAAACTGAAATTTATTATTTTATTAGGAAAAATAACTAAAGTTCTATTTCTTTAATCCATCCTAATGAATTTTTTGTGCAAACTTCATATTTAAAAAGACTATGGCTTTAGAACAGGTTTCTCTAAGGACAGTATGGTTCTCTAAGCATCTGTTTGTTTAAAATTCAGATTCCCAGATCCCATCCCATAACTACTATATCAAAGTCCCAAAGAGAAGATGGGGAGAGAGGAGAAAGGAATTCATATGTTTAATAAACTCCCCAAGTGATTATTGTGCATATATATATTTATTTATTTGAGACAGAGTCTTGCTCTGTTGCCCAGGCTGGAGTGCAGTGGCACAATCTCAGCTCACTGCAACCTCCACTTTCCAGATTCAAGCAATTCTTGTGCCTCAGCGTCCCAAGTAGCTGAGATTACAGACGTGCACCACCACACCCAGCTGAATTTTGTATTTTTAGTAGAGATGGGTTTTCACCACGTTGGCCAGGTTGGTCTCGAACTCCTGACCTCAAGTAATCTGCCTACCTTGGCCTCCCCCAAAATGCTGGGATTACAGGAGTGAGCCACCATGCCCAGCCAATATTTTGAAAACCAATGCTTCAGAGCAATTTAAAAAATAATCATAGGCATTACATATAAACCTCAAAGGTTACATGCACAAAACTGGGCATCTCTATTATGAAATAGTTGAGGACTCTGACATCCTTTTCAGCTTTTTTTCTATCATTCGAATTAGCCTTTTCTTTTTTCTGTTTCTTCTTGAGTCCATTTTAGTAATTTTTATCCTCCTAGGATATCATAATTTTAGTTAGCTTTTAAAAGAATTATTGTAATAAATTATATTTAGAAAATAATTTAGTATGCTTTTCTTTTCCATACCTGTCTGATCATGCATGTCCCTATATAGGGATACAAACTGCTAGTGATATCTTTAGTTTAAGGGAAATGAGAGAACAGAAGTTTAAAATTTATCTAGCTCAAACACAAAGAGAATGCAAACTGTTAAAAGATATTTTTAAGGGGAATGTGAGAACAGAGGTTTAAAATGTATTTAGTCAAACACAAAGAAAAAGAGAGTCGGCTGGGTACGGTGGCTCACGCCTGTAATCCTAGCACTTTGGGAGGCCGAGGTGGGTGGATCACTAGGTGAGAAGTTCGAGACCAGCCTGACCAACGTAGTGAAACTCCATCTCTACTAAAAATACAAAAATTAGCCGGCATGGTGGCTCACACCTATAATCCCAGCTACTTGAGAGGCTGAGGCAGAAGAATTGCTTGAACCTGGGAGGCAGAGGTTGCAGTGAGCAGAGATCGTGCCATTGCACTCCAGCCTGGGCAACGAGAGCAAAACTCTGTCTCAAAAAAAAAAAAAAGTAAAGAAAAAGAGAGTCAATATTTTGAAGTCCACATAAAAGATGATAGTTTGGAAAGCTGTTAGTTTACAAGAACCAAGATTTTTGAAAGAACAATTTTTGAAAATCAAAAGGCAAAGATTTGAAAGATAAAGGTATAACATTAGCCTACAAATAAACAATTAAGGTTGCGGTTTTCCAGGGAGTCAATAGGATGACAGAGAACCTGACAAGAACGAGGTCAGGGTGACCTGCATGGCTTCCAGGGATCACACAGAGAAGAGCAGAGATCATACTTGGAAAGAACTCAGTTTCTGCCCTAAAGAAGACCAATACAGCCAAACCAAGGGCAGTCGGGCAGGTGATGGAACCAAGCCACGCTGAAGTCTGTCCACCACCGTTCAGGGGAGTGCTGTTCCCCGTCCCACCAGGAGAACTGCTAGCATTGCCTTCATTGCCCGCCGTGAAGGTCTTCCTTTGATCGCTGTTTGCACCTCACTCCATGACACCCAGGAGAAATGTGACCCGTATACATCCTGATGTTTCAGTCAGCCCATCTCAACTCTACTATAAATATTTTTCAATAACCCAGCACTTTTTAAGGCCCCTAAAAGAAAGGGTAGAACCGTGGATGCCCGACAGGACTGGGTAGTGCAGAGAGAACCAGCAGCTCAACTTGGGTGGTTTCAGAAAAACAAAAAACAAAAAACAAAACAGTTCAAAACTTCACTTTGAGCCAGGACAGTGGAAAGAGCCACAGCTGTTCTATTAGTATCAGTATTTTTAGCAGAGTCTACTTTCCTCAGGCTGCAACTTTTCTTACTGGAAAAGTGCAACCACCTCTTAACTGATCTCCCTGAAACTGTTCTCTCCACCCTCCAGTCTTTTCTGTACATTGCTTGCAACAATTACCTTCCAAAAAATCAAATGTGGTCATGTTTCCTCTCTAGAAATCTTTATTATCCTGTTGTTGCATACAAGAGGAAGGCCAAACTCAGCAGCATTAACTGGACTGCCCTTCAAAACCCAGTCGCAGTCAAAATTTTAGCCTCAACCTATGCCTCTGCCAGTGTTTAAACTTAAATGTTAGCCATTTCAAACAGGGCAGAGCTTTTCCATACGGTTGAATATTTACTCACTGGTTCTTCCTCCTAGATTATCATGAACTTGGTTCTCTGCCCAGCAAACTCCTTCCCAACTCAAATACTATTATGACCCTATAAAAAGTTACTTGCTTTCTCTCTCATTTACCGAGGTGCTTTATTCAGATTAATCTAAAAGCATCCGTCAGATTCTTTTTTTTTTTTTTTTTTTGAGACGGAGTCTCACTCTCTCGCCCAGGCTGGAGTACAGTGGCATGATCCCAGCTCACTGCAAGCTCCGCCTTCCGGGTTCATGCCATTCTCCTGCCTCAGCCTCCCGAGTAGCTGGGACTACAGGTGCCCGCCACCATGCCCGGCTAATTGTTTGCATTTTTAGTAGAGACGGGGTTTCATCGTGTTAGCCAGGATGGTCTCGATCTCCTGACCTTGCGATCCGCCCGCCTCAGCCTCCCTAAGTGCTGGGATTACAAGCGTGAGTCACTGCGCCCAGCCCCGTCAGATTCTTTGATCATGATTTCCTCTTGTCTCTTTCCCTACTGGACTGACAGCTCCTTGAGAGCAGTGACTTCCTTCCACTTGCTCCTAGGAGCCACCCTATACATGTTTGTTGAATGACTCAGTCCACAATGAGTGACACAGCTGACTAACATAAAACTAAAATGACCTTTGTTCACACAACAGGCTACAGTACTTTGTTAATTGTTCTGATCCAGCTTTTTTTTTGTACTTGGAAGTTTATTTGTTCATCGCGCATCATTTCTCTATGTTTGGTCAATCATTCCAGCCTGACAAGGTAGTTTTTTTTTTTTAATCATTTTTTAAACCTTCTGAGTCTGTTATCCAAGGAATAATGTTGCCTCTTCCAGCTGCATCCTCAGCACCATTTATAATTGTGCCATCAATTCCCTCATCCAAGTTATAAATATCAGTTCTGGACAGAGAGTTTTACATGGCAGTTACCCTATCTTCTCTAGAATTATACTTATTTCTTGTTTTGTCAACTTGAATGTGAACTCCTCAAGACAGGCATCATGGACCTCTCATGTTTATGTTCTCTTAACTTTCTTGATTTTAATAAACACTACAAAATATCCTAGTGTCCCTTGATGGTGGTGACAGAAAGCGGGTTCTGGAATCAGATGACCGAGGATCAGACCACAGCCCCCCACCTGCAGGTCAACTTAGGCAAGTTTCTCAAACCCTTCTAGCCATCAATGACATTTTCTCATATACAAAATGTGGAAAAAAGTAGTACCTACATGACAGAATTGTCTTGAGAGAATAAAACAGATAATGTATGTAGAACGTTTCATGCTATACTTAATCCAGAGTGTTTAATATAATAATAGTTATTAGAGGTATTAGTTGAATAAAATAAATAATGGAAATATCAATGTCATCAAATCTACTAATTTATTACTCAAGTGTATACTTTGCTAGGGCTGCCATTACAAAGTACCACAGTCTGGGTGGCTTTAGCAACAGAAATCTATTTTCTCACAATTCTGGAGGCCAGATCTCCAAGATCAAGGTGTCAGCAGGGTTGACACCTTGAGGCCTTTTTTTTGTTTTGTTTTGAGGCCTTTATTCTTGGTTAGTAGGTGGCCATCTTCTCCTTGCACCTTCACATGGTCTTTCCTCTGTACCTGTCTGTGTCCTAATCTCCTCTACTTACCAGAGCACCAGTTATACTGGATTAGAGCCCACTCCAACAAACTCATTTAACCTTATTTATTTTTTTAAAGACCCAATCTTGAAATGCAGTCATTCTTAGACACTGAGAGTTAGGATATCAAACATAATTTTTTTTTGGAGAGGGGACACAATTCAGGCTGTGATAATCAGTAATAGCTATCACACCCATTATAAGTAATATCTAAGTTAGTCATGATCAGCTGTATAACCATCAACAACAACTCACTGACCCTTCTTTTGTCTTTTTTTTTGAAACAAGGTCTCGCTCTGTTACCCAGGCTGTAGTGCAGTGGCATGATCTTGGCTCACTGCAGCCTCAATCTCCCAGGCTCAAGTGATCCCCCAACCTCAACCCGCTGAGTAGCTGGGACTACAGGCATGTGCCACCACACCCAGCTGATTTTTATTTTCATTTTTTTTGAGATGGAGTTTCACTCTTGTTGCCCAGGCTGGAATGCAATGGTGCAATCTCGGCTCACAGCAACCTCTGCCTCCTGGGTTCAAGCCATTCTCCTGCCTCAGCCTCCCAAGTAGCTGAGATTACAGGCATGTGCCACCACGCCCGGCTAATTTTGTATTTTTAGTAGAGACGGGGTTTCTCCTTGTTGGTCAGGCTGGTCTCGAACTCCAGACCTTAGGTGATCCACCTGCCTCAGCCTCCCAAAGTGCTGGGATTACAGGCATGAGCCACCGTGCCCAGCCTGATTTTTTATTTATTTATTTTTTGTAGACACAGGGTTTCTCTATGTTGTCTAAGCTAGTCTCAGCTGAAACAGGGCTTAGCTCACACAGTTCAAAACTAGCTGAAGGCCTGACTTTCCCTGGTGACCATACCAGATACAATCATAAAGCAGGGAAAAAAGAGAATGTGCCTGGCGACTCCTCTTCTGGAAACTCTCTGGGAAATCCGTCCTTTTGGCCACTATCAATGCCTGGGGGCAGCTTAGATTGAAAACTGTGGTGCCCCATTAGCAGGCAACTTTCCTCCAAGAAAATGTTATTTTTCTTTCCCTTATTGAATTACTGGCTTCATTATATTGGGGTTTATTTGGGAGGGGAAATTTCTGTCTTCCTTGAATTAAAACCTGTGGTTAGACATGGTTCTTTTGTACATATACCGTTTCATAGGGTTTTGAAAAAAGGAAGGGATGAAGGAAAAGAAAATGATGAGGATAAAACCACCAGTTGGCTTAGTTCTCTGTAAATATTTTCTTTTTTTTTTTATTGACAAAGATTACGCAAGACTTTATTTTTACTTATAAAGTGAACATATTTAGAAACATTATTAATCCCTTAAAATAACCAAGATGTTGCTTATCAATAGGTATTAACTATATTATATACAATATATGAATATTTTATTATATAAAACATATTTATATAAATATAATGTATATAATATATAAAATAAGCTTTGGTAGTGAATAATAATGGTTAGCTTAATCAGTATAGTAATGATAATTTTTTGCTCTCCTGTGCAAATGACACTGGGATGTTCTTATAACTTTTATGTGCTCATCTATAATTTCATCTGTCTTTACAGAATCAGGAAAATTACTATCTTGTTCTCCATTCTACTTTTTGCACTTAGTCTCTGTCATGTAGTAAGAATTTGATAATCACTGTTAATTATTTTAGCTATAAAACCAAAGATTTGCAAGAAGTACGTATTTATGCTCATTCCATATTTGTAGAATTTACATTGATTGATTGTTTTTTGAAAAGATAATATTTTCATATGGTTAAAATTTATAAGGGAATATCATGAAGTATCTCTGTTTCCAATTCCCAACTTCCATTCCTGGTCTCAATCAGTATTATTAATTCTATTTTTTTTAATTTTATTATTATTATACTTTAAGTTTTAGGGTACATGTGCACAACGTGCAGGTTTGTTACATATGCATACATGTGCCATGCTGGTGTGCTGCACTCATTAACTCGTCATTTAGCATTAGGTGTATCTCCTAATGCTATCCCTCCCCTCTCCCCCCACCCCACAACAGTCCCCAGAGTGTGATGTTCCCCTTCCTGTGTCCTTGTGTTCTCATTGTTCAATTCCCACCTATGAGTGAGAACATGCGGTGTTTGGTTTTTTGTCCTTGCAATAGTTTACTGAGAATGATGATTTCCAGTTTCATCCATGTCCCTACAAAGGACATGAACTCATCATTTTTTATGGCTGCATAGTATTCCATGGTGTATATGCACCACATTTTCTTAATCCAGTCTATCATTGTTGGACATTTAGGTTGCTTCCAAGGCTTTGCTATTGTGAATAGTGCCACAATAAACATACGTGTGCATGTGTCTTTATAGCAGCATGATTTATAATCCTTTGGGTATATACCCAGTAATGGGATGGCTGGGTCAAATGGTATTTCTAGTTCTAGATCCCTGAGTATTCGCCACACTGACTTCCACAATGGTTGAACTAGCTTACAGTCCCACCAACAGTGTAAAAGTGTTCCTATTTCTCCACATCCTCTCCAGCACCTGTTGTTTCCTGACTTTTTAATGATTGCCATTCTAACTGGTGTGAGATGGTATCTCATTGTGGTTTTGATTTGCATTTCTCTGATGGCCAGTGATGGCGAGCATTTTTTCATGTGTCTTTTGGCTGCATAAATGTCTTCTTTTGAGAAGTGTCTGTTCATGTCCTTCGCCCACTTTTTGATGGGGTTGTTTGTTTTTTTCTTGTAAATTTGTTTGAGTTCATTGTAGATTCTGGATATTAGCCCTTTGTCAGATGAGTAGGTTGTGAAAATTTTCTCCCATTTTGTAGGTTGCCTGTTCACTCTGATGGTAGTTTCTTTTGCTGTGCAGAAGTTCTTTAGTTTAATTAGATCCCATTTGTCAATTTTGGCTTTTGTTGCCATTGCTTTTGGTGTTTTAGACATGAAGTCCTTGCCCATGCCTATGTCCTGAATGGTAATGCCTATGTTTTCTTCTAGGGTTTTTATGGTTTTAGGTCTAACGTTTAAGTGTTTAATCCATCTTGAATTAATTTTTGTATAAGGTGTAAGGAAGGGATCCAGTTTCAGCTTTCTACATATGGCTAGCCAGTTTTCCCAGCACCATTTATTAAACAGGATATCCTTTCCCCATTGCTTGTTTTTCTCAGGTTTGTCAAAGATCAGATATTCGCAGATATGCGGTGTTATTTCTGAGGGCTCTGTTCTGTTCCATTGATCTATATCTCTGTTTTGGTACCAGTACCATGCTGTTTTGGTTACTGTAGGCTTGTAGTATAGTTTGAAGGTCAGGTAGCATGATGCCTCCAGCTTTGTTCTTTTGGCTTAGGATTGACTTGGCAATGCAGGCTCTTGAAAAGTGATTTTCTAAATGCAGAGTTCTGATAACCTCAAACGGTCCCTTCCTTGGACGGTTATTTTGAAGAATAAGTAAGGAAGTATACACAGCATATTGCCTGACTGGTATTAAGCATTACATATTCTTTCAAAAAGGGTGGGCAGCTGGAGGGATGAGGCATGGCCCCCTTTTCCCAGGATCTTCTTTGGGCACATGGATGCCTAACCCTAAGCTGCAAAAATATGCAGCCCAACCCCCGAAGGAGAAGAAATGTCTGCTTCCTATTTGTCTTTGCGCGTGTGCTTTGCTTGGCCTTCTCAGGGTCTCTCTGGCACCAGAGCAGCCAAGCTGCTGGCCCACCATGGGCCCAGTGTCCTCACGCCTCCCAAGCAGACACCAGAGATTGTCAGGTTCCTCAAGCAGATGGTGGAAGGTTCTCCCTCCTCCTGTGGACCGGCACCCTCCTGTGCTGGATCGCATGTGGGATTCAGCACTACCAACAGTCCCTGGACAATATAAGTCTCTTGAGTGTCCCCTCCTGGTTTTGCTCAGGCAGTAACAGGGAGAACAGAGGCTGTCACTGCATGGGTGTGGGAAAAACAGTCATTTCCTCTGCTGTAAAACAGAAATGGTATCTGCCTTTCCAATGTCTCACAGGCAGTTTGTGCATGAATTTCACAAAAGAGAGAGACAGACATGAAGCACCCTGCATTTTTAAGAGGAAGAAAATATGCATCCATGTGAAGTATCTTTGGGCTCTGTTTCCTCCAAGCTAGCCTTTCCCTTTAACATGGAGAGCATGTGTGCCTGATGAGACCTGGGAAATCAAATCACAAAATTGAGTCCGCCACATGACGCTGACAGACAGAAACCAGAGGCAGCCAGCCATGTGTCGCAGGATTAAATTGACGTGAAATGTGCAGAATAGGCACATCCACAGGGCAGGAAGCAGATCAGTGGTGCCGGGACTGCGGATGGAGCAAAGGGTACTGCAGAGGGGCAGGGGGCATCTGCTGGCAGCATTGAGATGCTGAGGCTGAAGTGCAGGATGGTTGCACAACTCTGCAAACTTACAAAAAAATCAACAAATGGTGCACTTAACATAGGTGAATGCTGTGGCCTGTAAATTACACCAGGTCACAGCTGCCAGCATCACATCCTCCTATGGAGAGCCCCAGCCTCCAGGCTTGGGTCCTTGCTGCTGCCTATTTCTCTGGCTGATGCCCCTGCTCCTCACCCAGGTGTACTTGGCTATGTACTTGTCCTAGTTGTCATTTTGATAGGGATCTTTACTTGTTGGCAAGAGATAAAAAGCACTGACATCGTGTCCACCTCTTTAAGATGATCCTCAGGTGGGTGCCAGCCACCCCTCCTCTGGTCTCTGGTGACTCCCAGGTGAGGAAGCCTCAGGAGAGTAGGAGCTTGGGGCCCCAGGAGCCGAGAGTCCCTGCTCAAGCTCCGGCCTGCCCTTCCCTGTCTGAGAAAGCTTGGGCAAGTTACATCTCTCTGAACCCTGTTCCTCACAGGATTTTGATGATCAAGCGTGTTCCCATCCAGGAAAATGTGAATCACTGTCCAACATCTATGCCTGCTCTCAGCATTTGTGGACAGTTATCTGGGGGCTTCTGGAAGGAGCCTGTAGAAGGTCAGGGAGTTTCTTAACCAAAAGCAGAGGAGATCCACCTGGGATTGTTGATCTGTGACTGTTCTGAGACAGTCTGAGTCCCAAAATGCACTCAGCGAGGGGACCTAGCACTCCCCTCTCACCAGGAACCCTGACAGGTGTCCAAGGCAGGAAAGCCATGCTGGCCCTGGCTCAGGGAGCTGCTGGCTGGAGTGAAGGTTCTAGGTGCAAAGGATGCCTCCTGCCGAGCTCAAAGCAGGAGATCACCTTGTTAGAATTTCCCTGACCCTCACCAGATTATTAACACCTTCAGTGTTCTTCCCAGATGCCCAGCCAGTATAGCTCACCCTTGTTTCCCTTTCTATGAGGTCCAGGGCTCTTGCTTTGTTAGATCTGCCTGACAGCAGCCTTTTCTGGTTCCAAGAACATCTCTTTGAGCTTAAGAAAGAATAGTTCTTAGAGTCTTCAGCTCCTAGGTCAAACCATCTTCAGTTGTATTCTTGCCAATGTGACAGCTTCAGGTTCCAAGGCCTCCATGCTGGGGTTTGCTGCAGCACAGATTGGAGAGGAGGGCTGGGGTCCTTCTAGGATATGAGGCACCTGTCACAGCTTTCTTCTGCAGCAAGCTCTTGTCATCTCAGATTCTGAGGAGATCATCGCTGCAGAGCAGCTGGGGTGTGGGCATTGTGGAGGCTGAAGAGAAGACCAGATCTCTGCAGATATCAAGGTGCTGCCTTCTATGGGGTGTCGGGCAAGTGGCAGGGGCACCAGCCCTGGGGACTGTGCTTAGAGCAGCTGGTGTTCCACCTTTCCCTACCTCAGTGTAAGAGGCAAGGAACAAGGTGCCTAATTTTGATCTGTTTTCCACATTTCTTCTAGGTGGGTAACTCGCCCGTCATGGGGGAGTCTGAGCCCTAGGCCCGCTCCTCTGAGTTGCACACGAGACCCTCTTGGGAACAAGAACATCTGTTTCTCTTCTCCAACCTGTCTGGGAGGTGAGGCTGCTAGCTCTCGGGCTGCATGCCCACCCACACCCCTTCTCCCTTCTGGGGCCTCATGTCTGTTCTTTGTGACACCTTGTTACAAAGCTTGTCATAGAGGAAGCATGAAACTGAAGGGCCTAGATGACACATGTTTGGTCTTCATAACATCACACACTCATGGATCATGCAAGCGCTGAGGGAGGGCTACAAGCTGGCTGTGTGCCCCTCATAGCTAACATCCCTGGAATAAAATGTCTACTTCCCTGGTAGGCATCGCCACGGCATAGCGATCGGCACGGTGACCGCACACCACTGGTCATATTGCCTCCTTGATCTCAGGAGTTGGAAATGAGAAGACGCCATTGCCGCTGAGAGGGGGCACTGTGTTGGTCTGTGGCGGGAATGGCCATCTCCACCGGCACCCTTTTCTTCATCATGGCAGTGTCCCTGCAGTATCACATCCTGGACTCTGTTATATTCCTCACTGGCATCACTGTGGCCAATGTGCCCAAGGTGTCCTGGCCACTGTTACTGTGAGTCCCTGCTGTTAGGCAGCTGCACTCAGCCCTGTGGACACAGCATTGCTGCTCTCTCCACCAAGTCCAGGGCACCAACCCTCCCTGCCAGGGACAATCACGGCACCTTCTGAATAGACTGTTTCTTAGAGGGACAAAAGGAATTGTCTAAAATTAGACAAACTTACTTTAAAACAACAACAAAAATATTAACAGAAATAAGGATATTTTATAACGACAAAGGGTAAATTAATCAGGAAAATGTAAAACTTATTGACATGTATGCACTCAGGGAAAGAGTACAGAAACACAAGAAGCAAAACTTGACAGAAATGAAATAATTCAGCAATGATAGTTGGAGACTTTAGTACCCCACTTACACTAATGGGTATAACAACTAGACACAAGATAACAAGGAAATAGAAAATATGAACAACATCAGAAACCAAATACACCTAACAGATACATATAGAACACACCATTCAACAGCACAATCTGTATTCTTCCCAAATGCACACAGAACATTTTCTAAGACACTATGCAAAGCCATAAAACAAACACCAATTAAATTGAAGGATTAAAATAATACAAAGAATATTTTCTCATCATGATAAAAGCACATTAAGGATCAATGAAAGGAAGAAATCTGGGAAACTCCTAAAAATGTGAACATTAGCAGAAACTTTCCAAAATAATAAAAGGCCAAAAAAGAAACCACAAGTAGTATAAGACAGTATTTTAAGATAAATGAAAAAGTAGACAAAACCTAAAAAAAAAACTTACAGGATTAATTGAAAACCATGCTCTGAAGGAAGCTTACAGCAGAATTCCATCAATGAAAAAGCAGAAAAATCTCAAATCAATAACTAAATGCCTGTTAAAAACATTTAAATGGAAATGGCTGACCCCACTCATCTGAGAAAAGGATATCAGTTGGGGCAAAAATAGTCTTGTTGAAAAACCCTAGGAAGGAAGACTTGGAAAGGACACCCTCTGGAATTCAGGGCTGTGACAATAGTTTTGGAAATCTAGAAGGCAATGTGGATGCTCAGGGCCAGGCACGTGATCAGGAATGACCCAGGAAGACCCTAAGCTCTCACCTCTGACCTTCAAATTCTGCAAAAGAAGAAGGTAAAAAGAAGTTGTCATTAGATTAAAATAATTGGTTATAAGATGTTCTATACAAGCTTCATGGTAACCAAAAACCAAAATCCTATGATAGGTATGCACAAAATAGAAAGCAAGCAGTTAAAACATACTACCAGAGCAACTCACTTTTATACAAAGGAACACAGGAAGCACGAAAGAAAGGAAGAGAGGACCAAACAATCAACTAGAAAACAAGTAGCAAAATTGCAATACTATGCCCTTACCTATCAATAATAACACTGAAGGTAAATGGACTAAATGATCCAATCAAAAAACACAGAGTAGCTCAATCAATTAGAAGACAAGAGCCAACTATAGGCTTCCTACAAGAAATCCACTTCACCTATAAAGACACATATAGATTGAAAATGAAGGGGTTGAAAAAGACGTTCCATGAAATGAAAACCAAAAAAGAGCAGGAGTAGCTAGCTACACTTAGATGAGACAAAATAGATTTCAAGACAAAAACTGTAAAAAGAGACAATAAAGTTTATTATATAATCATCAATTCTTCAAGCTAATATAACTATTATAAATATATATGTACCCAGCATTGGAGCACTCAGATATATAAAGCAAATATTATTAGAGTTAGAGAGACAAATACCAATAAAGTAATAGCTGGGACTTTAACACCCCACTTTCAGCATTGAACAGATCATCTAAACAGAAAGTTAACAAAGAATCATCAGACAATCTGTACTGTAGACTCAATGGACCTAATACATATTTACAGAATATTTCATCCATCAGCTTCAGAATACACATCCTTCTCCCCAGCACATAAAACAGTCTCAAAGATTGGCCGTATGGTAGACCACAAAACACGTTTCAAAAAAATTTTTTTAAACATGAAATTACATTAAATATGTTTTTCTGACCACACTGGAATAAAACGAGAAATAACTAAAGAAACTTTGAAAACCATACAAACACATGGAAATTAAACTACATGCTTCTGAATGACCATTGAGTCAATGAAGAAATTAAGAAGAAAATGTTTTAAAAATTTCTTGAGACAAATGAAAATGGAAACACAATGTAACCAAATCTATGGGATACAACAAAAGCAGTACTAAGGGGGAAGTTTATAGCAATAAACACCTACATAAAAAGTAGAAAAACTTCCAATAAACAACCTAATGTTGCATCTTAAAGAAATAGCAAAGCAAGAGCAAAGCAAACCCAAAATTAGTAGAAGAAAAGAAATAACAAAGATCAGAGCAGAGGCCAGGGTGGTGGTTCACGCCCGTAATCCCAGCACTTTGGGAGGCCAAGGCAGGCGGACCACCTGAGGTCAAGAGTTTGAGACCAGCCTAGCCAACATAGCAAAACCGAGTCTCTACTATAAATACAAAAATTAGCCAGGCATGGTGGCTGGTGCCTGTAATCCCAGCTACTTGGGAGGCTGAGGCAGGAGAATCGCTTGAACGGGGGAGGCAGAGGTTACAGTGGGCTGAGATCGTGCCATTGCACTCCAGTCTGGGTGACAAAGCAAGAATCCGTCTCAAAACAAAACAAAACAAAATCAGAACAGAAATGGAGACTAAAAAAAATACAAAAGACCAATAAAATTTCCAGTTATATTGAATCATCAAAACCAGCAACAGACGCAGCAGCACAGGGCACAGCTGCAGCTACAGGAGCAGCAGCAACAGGCTTTGCAGGCCCAGTGCCAATACAGCAGCCACCAATGCAATGTCTGCTGCAGCCTGCCCCCTCCCAGGTCCTGCCCCAGCAGCTGCAGCAGATACGTCAACCACACCACCACTAGCAGCTGCCATAGTCCCGGCAACCTCCAGCTGCTCAGAACCAACCATTGCAGCTCCCGCCACAGTCAGTCACAGACCCAGCCTTTGGTGTGGCAAGTGCAAGCATTCCCTGGACAGATGTATGCCCAACAACAGCTGCAATTTGTCTGAGCTCCAAGGGTAGTTCAGCAGCTGCAAGTGCAGCCCCGCTGCAGCCGGTGCAGTCCTGGACGCAGTAGCTGACAGTGGTGCGGACCGCTGAGGCTCCCCAGGTGGTGGCTCCCGGAGTCCATGGTAGCCAGAGCAGCCTCCCCATGATGTCCTCGCCGTCGCAGGGCCAACAGGTGCAGACCCTGCAGTCGATGTCCCCTCCCCGACTGCCGTCCTCACAACCCGACTAGCCCCGGTCTCACAGCCCAACTCCAACATCAGCTCCGGCCCTGCCCCAGCGCCCAGTGGCTAGCTTCCTGCCCAGCCCCTCGCCGAAACCCTCCCAGAGCCCAGGGATGGCGCACCAGAACTTCAGAGTCCCATGACCCGGATCTTTAAACGCCCCTATGAAACGCGGCTCAGTCATGAGCCCAGCGGGCTCCAGCCGGGCCGAGCAGCAGCAGTGCCTGGACAAGCTAAAGCCGCTGCCCAAGTACAGGGAGCCCCTGCGCCGCCTGAGCAACGGGATCCACGGGAACCAAGACAGCAAAAGGGCTGCGGTAAGACGAGCCTTCTGGACGCTCTGACAGTCGGCTCCCAGCTGTGTCCCCTGGAGACCCTGTGGAAGCCTGAGATCGCCCTGGAGAAACGCAAGCATGACCTGGAGGTGCCCAAGCCCCGACTGCACCTGGTGCCGCTGACCACGCAGCAGCACTTGGCGCCTGCCGCTCCTGGACACACAGTCCTGGCCCGCATCTGCTCGCAGTCCTGAACCATTCCCTGCACCGCGCCTTGGTGCTGCCCAGCACAAACACCTTTCCAAAGGAGGCAAATCAAATACGCATCTATCTCAGTGAGCAGGGGAGAGACTTTAAATAAAATGGGAGGCAGGTTTGCCCTAAGCAGCTCCAAGCTTAAGTTTAATTTAATGATTTTGGGGGGCCCAAAATATTTTCCTTTCACAGGCGCAATGGGAGCTCAGGGTCTCCTGAGAGCATCTTGTGTGCAGGCTCGAGGCACCTCCACTCGCTTCCACAGGGGAACACGGAGGACACAAGAAACCCTTCACACACACGATTCTCTGATCGCAGTTTTGGATTCAGGCTCCCTGCTTTCGGCATCTGGACGCCGCAGGCGGAAGCTAGGGTCAGGGTGGAACGCTGCCTCTGGAGGGAGCCCGGGCCTAGAGGCTGCCGGGTCCCCGCTCCCAGCTGGAGCTCAGCCCTGCGGGCGCCCGAGGAGCGGGGGCATCGGAGATCCTGTCCTCCGCACCCCTGGCCCGCTCTCGGCTCAGGGCCGCACCCCAGCTGTGCAGGATGCCCCGCGATGTCTGGGGGCCCCGCGCTCAGAGCACCCCGGGCGCTCTGCGCCACTGCAGAGTGTGCAGCCCTGGCAGGGGAGCCGTGCCTCCCTCTGCTACCCACACTCGGGACCCAGAGCAGATCTCTGGCCCCAGGATCCCCCTTTTTAATGTGCGCTGCCCCATCATCCGTGATTTTTTCTTTTATTTTTCTTTTTTTGGACAGAGTTTCGCTTTGTTGTCCAGGCTGGAGTGCAATGGCGCGATCTTGGCTCCCTACAATCCCCGCCTCCTGGGTTCAAGCAATCATCGTGACTAAGCCTCCTGAGTAGCTGGGATTACAGGCGCCGGCCACCACGCCCAGCTGATTTTTTGTATTTTAGTAGAGGCGGGGTTTCACCATCTTGCCCAGGCTGGTTTCCAACTCCTGAGCTCAGGCAATCTGCCTGTCTGGACCTCCCAAAGCGCTGATTACAGGTGTGAGCCACAATGCCCGGCCTCGTGATTCTTACAATTGTATCACTCCTGTGTTTGTCCGGGGTTTATCACTGCAGCACCCCTTCTCCGTCCATCTGGGGCCCGCTGTCCCCTCAGGATGCTGTCAGCCTTGGAGCTGGCAGAGACCAGTCTGGCCCTGGATGCCCAGACCTTACCTCTCCTCTGTCGCAGGGTCCTCTTCCTACACCTTGTTCGCCCCCCAGCTTCCTGGCACAGTTCTTGCTCCCTGTAGCAGCAAGAGACTGAGCTTAATGCCAGGAAATCTGGGCTGTGGGACGGGAGGGTGGGCTGCCAGTGAGGGTGGCACTGAGCTGACCACCTAGGACAATGGTGGCACCTGGGGCTATGGCGATGGGGGCCACATGGGCTGGGCAAGGCACTCTGGAGATGGCTGCCCAGGAGAATGATGAACTGGTAGGACCACGCCTAAGCGGCCCTGTGTGAGGCAGGAGAGGCCAGCAGCTTGCCCCCAGCAGTGTGCTGTGTTTGTGAGGAAGCTGCCGGCCCAGGCAGTGCACCAGGAAAGCCCTCCGGTCTCCAAAGAGGGCCTGCACAGCTTTGCCAATGGTTTTTTTCCAGGGTAGCTGCCAGGTCCTGGAATGAGCAAGACTCAGCTGCCCAGAGGGGTCCCTGCGGACAGCAGGGGCTGGGATGGGACACCTGATAGCCAGTGAGAAATACAAGCACGACTTGAGAGAAACACAAGCCTTATTTTCAGTCTTACAAATAAGGCGATCCTCATTTTGTCATGTGCATTTGTGTACCCGCTGAATAGCAAAATAACAGCAAGAAAAGATGACAATTTATATTTTCATAGACTCAGAAAAAGTAACAGGCAACAGTGTGTTTCAAATTTTCGATTAGTTGATTTTACAGTGCAAACATGGAAGAATCTGCAGCATGCTAGGACAAAATAATTTTATTAATTTTATAATTTTACTGAGATTGCTATTTAAAATAATTAGATGTGGGGATACTACAGGAAAATAGGAAAAAGTTCATGCTGCAGATGAGTTTTTCAGATGAGTTTTCACAAATATTTTTGAATCTTGAATCTTTGAATAAGATGAAATTATTCTGAATATGTGTGTTTGGGTGATAACAGTTGCCAACAAAAATATGGCTCATAACACCAGTTTCATTTGATTGCCTTTGGTACATTTTAAAAAATGCTACACTACTTTATTCCACATTAGGTGAAATTTATTTTTTCTTACAGTCAGATTTTATCGTGTAAAAAACATTCTGGATATGTAGGTAAATTTGATTTATTATCTGATTATAGGAGTTTCTGATTGTAACTGACATTGTTTGGATACAGGAGAGTTAATTAATCATCATTAATGAATCACAGTTAATATGTCCATTACAGTTGAGTGCTACATCTTTACACTGGAAGAAGCAGTGGATGTGTAGCAGAAACTTTCGAGTAAAATAGTTCTGGGTTCTTATAATCCCTTCTCTGATATCTACCAACTCTGTGTCCTTAGGCAAGTTAATTACCATCACTTTCCTGATCCATAAAGGGAATAATACTAATATCTACAAAATATGGTTAGAGTGAAGTTTCATGAAGTGATGAATGTAAATAACCTGGCAGAGTGCCTGGGGATACAGCATGATTCATCACGATACCTGCTAATATTAATACTGTCTAGTTAGAAAATTATTTAGATAAAATCATCTGGGTAATCATCACGGTGTATTAGCAACACAAAATCAATTTATAACCTCTTTTTACTCCTTCTGCTGGAGAAGCTGTAAAGCCTAAAGATTTGCCTTCTCAGTTTCCTTCTGGCTAGAGCTAGTCATGAGACCTTGTGGCCAATGGAATGATACCAACATACAAGACTTCTGGAAAAACCGGACAGACTCAGGTGACCTAGATTTTAGCTGTTTGCCCCTTCTCTTTTCCCTTGTCTTTCTAATATCTGGGATGTGGGTGTGATGTTTGAAACTGTTCCAGCTGCCTTCAAACTGTAAGAATGGAAAAATAAAGAAACCTGAATCATTGATGAAATTTTTGAGCTACAATGTGAGAACCAACACATCTGCATCTAAGTGACTTTACTCAGTGGAGAAACTCTTGCCCCGATAACACTGAAACTTACATTATTGTTAGTTTCAGGAACATCCCCTAATCTGTTTATCTGAACAACAGACCACTCAACTAATCCTCATTTCTCTCTTCTCAGGACAGCAGATTATCCAAACCAACTAATCAACTGGCTATCTACCCAACAAGAGTCCCTTCCAAATCCTTACCTCCCTGTGTTCACTAACCCTTAGCTATTGTACCTTGAAGTTTACCCAGTTTCAAGCACGCCTCACGTTAAGAAAGCCATGTTAAACCAGACACCAAATATCTCACAACCGTCCTGCCTGTGGCCTCCTTACTATAAGTAGCTAGTAAGATGCTCTGCAAGTGGTGGTGTCCCATACAACAGTAAGCAGTAAACTTGCCTTTGGTTTATGAAGAGATTTTGGTGGACTTTTCAGGGACTTAATCAACAAATACTAGGGCTTGATTACATAGGATAAGATTCTTTCTCTTCCTTTTTTTTTCTTTAGAGACAGGATCTCACTCTGTCGCCCAGGCTGGAGTGGCATGGTGCGATCATAGCTCTCTGCAGACTCGATCTCCCAGGCTTAAGTGATCCCTCCACCTCAGCCTCCTGAGTACCTCAGACTACAGGTGCATACCACCATACCCAACTAATTTTTAAATTTTTTGTAGAGATGGGGGTCTCGCCATGTTCCCAGGTTGGTCTCAACTGCTGGCTCAAGCGATATTCCCGCCTCAGCCTCTCAAAGTTCTAGGCTAACAGGTGTGAGCCACTGTGCCCAGCCAAGATTCTTGATACAGGTAAAATGAACCTCTTTTGTTCAAGCCACTGAATTTTGGTTTCGTTTATTCCTGAGCATATCTCTAACAAATTGTGCAGCTATTATTGTTCATAAAGTAATTTATGTAAAGACTATACTAGAACAGTATTTACTATACTATATTTGCATAGGATTTAGCAGAGAAATCATCAAGTAATGGTAGATTTCCTTACTTTATGGCCAGTCATTAAATGTTCGTTCACATAATCTTCATGAAAGGATTTTGAGGGACAATTTTTTTAAAGTACATTCTGTCTGGTCAGTCACAACTCAATTCAAAACCCCATTCTGCCATCTGCTCACTATGTGACCCTGGGCACATTGATGAACTCCTAATCAGGCCTCAGTTTCCACACATGTAAAATTGTCATAGCAACCTTACTAGATTTTTTAAGGAAAATAAAAATAACATTATTGATAAATAAATGTAAACTATTTAGGAGAAACTTAGTTCAATTATGAAGCATTCGATGTGTTATGCTTTCCTCAAAGCTTCATGTTGTTCATGGTTTGCCCCTGCCTTGTGAAAGCTCCCTACTGAAGTCTCAGCCCTCTGTTCTAAACTGCTCTCTTCTCCACCCTAAAAACAACAAGAATTTTAAACCTCTGTTAAATCTCTAAAAATTCTAAGATTAATTCCTATTAAAATGGTAACAGCTATTAAAATTTAATACAGGCTAAGGATCCCCTTACCTTGGGACCAGAAGTATTGTGGATTTGGGTTTTTTTTTTTTAAGACTTTGAAATATTTGCATATACATAATCAGATATGTTGGGGATGTAATCCAAGTCTAAACAGAAAGTTCATTTATGTTTTGTATACACCTTATACAAATAGCCTAAAACTAATTAGATAAAATATTTTAAATAATTTTACGCATAAAAACAAATCTGACTGCATTTTGACTGTGACCCATCACCTAAGGTCAGGTGTGGAATTTTCCACTTATGGCATCATGTCAGCACTCAAAAAGTTTCAGATGTTGGAGCATTTCAGATTTCAGTATTTTGGATTAAGATGCTCAATCTGTATGTTACCCTGCCTAGGATTTTTCTGTATCTAATGGTAGAATCTAATGACTTTGAAAAGACAAGGCAATCATTTCCCCTTTGTCAGTGAAGAATATATTTTTTTCTCTCTGAAGTTGAAATCACACTAGGTAAACATTTACCCGTCCATGTGTAACTCTAACATGGCCACATTATTGAGCACTTACCTGCCTAGAGTCAGCTATTGAATAAGTATATTAAGTCTGCAGAAGGCCGAAATACGCACATTTAGATGGACTAGGGCTACAGGGCAATGGGCTTTGGACATTTTGCTTTATAAAGGTAACAGATTTGACTCTGCAATTTCATCACTTTCATTATTTCCCTATTGTCTGAAAATATCCATTTCTGCCGATTCCTTTTACTTACATCAGCAACACTGCAATAATACAACTCAGAGAACCTTTCAACATATTCCTTTTCTTGTATAAGGAGTGGAATCTTTCAAAACAAAATAATAACTTTAAATTGTAGAAGTTTATGTACTTAACTTCAGATGTTTTCAATTATAATGACTAGTGATATTCATAGTAGAAGCACATAGTTTAAAGGGCTAAGAATTGATTTGAAATATGTCAGAATTAGAAAGAAAGGTTAATTTGTTTTGAACCAACGTGTCGTGGTTTAGGTAAGTGTTTCTCAACCTTGGCACTCTTGATGTTGGGGCTGAATGATTCTGTCGCTAGGCAGCTATCCAGTGCATTGTAGAATTGTGGCAGCATCTCCAGCCTCCACTCACTACACAGCAGTCCACCAGTAGCAGCACCCTTTTGTGACCACCAAAAATGTCTCTAACTATTGTCAAATGGTACGTGAGAGTGAAATTACTCGTTGGTAACCACTCATTTTGTTTTGGCATCCTTACAGTTGACATGTATCATTTTCTTGCTCAGTATTAGAAGCTTCTTGTACTTCAGGAACATGTTACATACTTCTTGTCAAGTTTCCATTTGTTAAGTGTTTCCACAGCAACACTTAACAGGCAGCTGCCCTTGGCAGTATTCCTTCACTGAGAAGAATAAATGGGAGCTGCCCCAGCTCCATCTTACTCTTATTCTCCTTTTCTTCTACTCATGCTAACTTCTTTCGACTACTTGCTCACCCTTCATGGGATGGTTCCTATTTATTCATGGATTCCATTGCCTAATAGCTTCTGCTTCAGTCCTTCCTATTCTGTGCCATTATTCTTAACTTTGCTATTTATCTCACTAAATTCCCCACTAGATAGTGCATTTGTCTTTACTGAAGACACAGAAAATTCTTACCAGGCCACTCCACAGACTTCAGGTCTGCCTTTAGAGGAAGGTCCTTCAGAACAGAATCCTGTTTGACTGGCTAAAGTCATTTTTAAGAAAACTGTTGTCATTTCTTTTAATATGAACCCAGGTCAAGGAAGGCATGCTGAGTTGTGGAGGTATAGGATGTTATTCCAGGCAGGCACTTTCCCTCCGTTATGTGATACAGATGAGATTTGAGCATTACCTTTTTGTCACTTGAAATTATATCTTACAAAAATACAAACAGATAGAGCATATACAGATACACATTAGAAAGGGTGAGGGGAACAGATACAGAGGAAGGAGGAAGAGAGACAGAGAGGGAGGGAGGGGGAGAGAAAGTGGCTTTGTGTGGAGCCAAGATGGTAACATGCCGAACTGAGAGGCATGAGAGAGAGAGACAGAAAGACACAGAGACAGAGAGAAACAAACAGACACAGACAAAGAAGGGGTTCCAGGAAAACAACAGGGCACTAAGACCTCAGAACTTTCATGCTACAGAGAAAAGGGGTCAATGCTGGCTCATTATCCAAATCCTGATTTCAAAGCAAAATACAATTAAAGTGGATTCAGAGAACTCGTGACCAGAAACATGAAGGGACCGTCTAACACCTTAGTAAGCCAAGACCACCACAATCCTGGAACATAAACACAAAGAACTCAATATATGCTTGTTGCAAGAAGAAAGTTAAAAAAAAATTGTGCCAAGGCCTGTGCTGAGAAAGAAGGTGGACACACCACCATCCTCAGGGAGCTACTTCTGAACACTCCTGGCAGAGTGAAACAGTCACTGTCAGTGATCAGATTAAAAATTACTTCATTATAATAACTGGACTTGTACCCTCCTCAACCCTCCTCCTTTGTGAATGCAATCCAGTTCCTGGACTTGCCTCACTGCCTACAAAGAAAACAAAAACAACAACCTCCTCCAAGTCCCCCACTGGGTACAACGTGCGCTCTGCAGCTTGGCTTTCTGAAATCACACAGGAAGGCACCTGCATGCATGTTTTTCTAGAGACAGCCCACGGCTTTCCTTAGGTTTCCCAAAGGATCTATGACCTGACCCCAAAGGTTCAGAATCACTACTTTTTAAAACACCCATTTGTGAGTATGTGCGGGAATGTTGTTGCTTCTCTTTTCTTCTTTGTATGTTGGCAATTGTCAGTGATGAAAAAAAAGAAATGGTTTCTAAGGAAAAAAAAATGATCCATATTCTCTAACAAGGAGTGTTAAAGGAGACCCCCCCAGATATTAGGACAGCAATGAGGGACCATGTGTGAAGTTGACAGTTGGATGCTGTCCACGAGCGTGGGGCCAACACTGACAATCACAGCAGGGAGGCTTCCCCAGGAGAACTCCCTTCATCTCTAACTCCTCCCATATATGCAAACTCCCAATGACAGCTGCCCAGAATCCTGCTTCAAGGCTATAGTGGATGCCACGGTTGACCCCTTCCTTTCCAGCCCTGACCACTGTGCTGTCACCTTACAATGTGGGGCATGGGGGTGGTATGGAGCAAATCTGACCTCAGCTCCAGGTGTGGACCCTGATGGGTTCAATTTGTCTCCCCTGCCCATAGTCACTGGTTCAAATGATCCAGGCTTAACCTGATGAAAAGTTGGCAAAGTCCTGGACAAAGGGATTGGTTTAGCTTTGAACATGGGGCTCAGTTTGGGCCAATGCGACTTAAGGGGAGGGGTATGGGAAAGGGGGTTTTACAATGGGAAACAGGAAGTGTTTGGCATGTAAGACTGAACCTGCTGCAGCCATATGCCCATGCTCCAGGAAGCCAGGCTCAGGATGAAGTCAACACCAAGGCAAGCAGAATCACAAAATTCAAAGAAACTGAGGTCTCAGTGATACTGTGGAACCACTGGTCGAACTGACCCTAAACCTGCTCTGCTTCTCATCCTTTAAGTTATCTGAACCCAGAAATGTCCTCCACTGTTTACCCAGGTGGAAGCGGTTTCCTATCATTCACAAAGGAGTCACAAACAATATGAAGTCCTAACTAAAACAGAAAGGATGTTCGTGTTAAAACACAAAGTTGAGGCTGGGCATGGTGGCTCATGCCTGTGATCCCAACACTTTGGGAGGCTGAGGTGGGTGGATCACTTGAGGTCGGGAGTTCGAGACCAACCTGGCCAACATAGTGAAACCCCGTCTCCACTAAAAATACAAAAAAATTAGCTGGGCGTGGTGGCGGGTGCCTATAATCCCAGCTACTGGGAGGCTGAGGCAGGAGACTTGCTTGAACCAGGGATGCAGAGGTTGCGGTGAGCCGAGATCGTGCCACTGCACTGCAGCCTGGGCGACAGCCACGAGACTCCATCTCAAAAACAAACAAACGAACAAACCCACAAAGTTGATCCTTTTCCCTACAGCCATGCCAAAAGGAACTAAAGAAAAATATGGAACTAACGTGTATTTAGCACATAAAGCTCAACAGTAACGCACTGCCCTGTGTTGACAGAAATGAATCCAGCTGTCAGATGAGTGGCTTGGCTGGAAACCCTTATGACTGCTTCTCCTCAAGACATTTTTAAGATAGTGTATTAAAAAAATACCCCAACAACTAACCTTACACGAAATGAATATTTTCCACTAAAAAGACTTAAAAGCGGCACATTAAAATGAATAAGATTCTATAATAGAAAACTATTCTGACCATCATTTGGGGGCAATTCATAATCTTCCTATTCCCGAACGGTTTTGTTTTTTACCCTATACCACACCCAGAATGGATGGAATGATGAAACTACAATTTTCCCTCAACAAACCATTTCAGTTGGGTGCATGATAAAAACCCTGCCAATAGCCACTTTGGCTACATTTAAAAACTTTTGTACACAGGTCGTGAACCTAGTTCTCAATTGGTTGGGTCTTTTTGGTTTGGGGTTTTCTCCCATGTTGGGAATCTCTCTATCCCGAGACATTTTCAAACACCTGACAGTGACCTGGCTTCCCAGTGCTCCATTCTCCTAAACACGGCTGACTCGGCTTGGCATCCTGTCCCCTTCTCCCTCCTCACCAGGCAGCTATATGGATGGTAGCCTGCGTCCGCCAGAAATCATCAGTAGCATTTGTTGAGTACCTACTAGGTACTTACTGGAGAAACATCACTAATCCTTCCAGAAATAGATTCTCTCAGCTTTATAGATATGGAAACTGAGGTCCAAGTCTCACCTGGCAAGTAGAAGAGCCAGCTTCGGCCCTGGTTTCTCTGACTCCTCCACCCAGCTCTCTGCCAAGCAAAGTGCAGGAAAACAGCTGCACAGGGAAACAACCAGGCAGCCGCACTGAGCAGCCTTTTGATACAGTCCAGATGCTCTCAGGCACAGGCAACGTGCAGAGGGGTCCCAAATGGCAATCCTGCACTTCCAGAATGGCCTCGATGTCAAGTAGCCTCACACATTAGGAACTCCTTTAAAATAAATGGAAATGGGTGGAAAACATCCACGAATATGCACATTGGAAATAACAGGCAGGACAGACACAGCACCTGTGCCGGGCTGTAGGGTGGGCGGGAAAGCCAGGCCTGTGTCCCAGCCTAAGGGGCAGTTCACCCCCACAGGGCTCTTGAGAAGCCAGGAGATGGCTCTTCTTCCTCCTGAGCAGGAGAGGGTTCACAGTATGCCTGGCAGTGGGAGAAAGGGGTGTGCAGGGCCTCTCGCTGTGAAAACAGGCTTGGGGCACTTCTTAGAACTGCGAAGAAGACTTTCAGCTGCTCCCCTGCCCTGTGTCTGACACATGGCTGCTGGCATAGGGCCCAGCCTCCCCAGTGAACTCCACTGGGACTTGCTTATGTGGTTGTTTTCCAGCGCCCCAAGGCAGCCACCTCTCCTGCTTCCTAACCACCTCCTCTTCCTGGGTCTGTAACACGGGTTTGCATTAAGGTTCCAGGCCCTCTGCCCTCCTTTCCCTGCACATTCCTTCCAGGCTCCATTGTCTCCCATAATTACCTCTTCCCTGTTGGCAGCTCCCTGATTTCCAGCTCCAACCCTGAAACCCAGCTCCACTCTAGCAGCCACCTGCCGGCAGCTGTGAGGTGTCTTCCACTCCAGAACCCTCTCTCACCCTTTCCTGGGGTACCCACTCCTGGCTCAAACCTGACTGATTTTTGATCCCTTGCACTTCTCTAATTCCAAATTCTACAGATTCTTCCCCAAAACCTTCTAAACAAATCCATCCCCAGATATGAAAAGATGACCTAACGGCAGGAATCAGGAGTGAGCCACAGGCAGCAGTGGCCTCCAGAATCATAGAAGGGTGCACATTCCATACCCCACCAGCCCAGAGAAACTCATCCACAGACAAAAACACCATGCTGGTCAATCAGGATACAAGCCATAGTTTTCAACTTCTGCTCAAAAAAGTAGAATCCAAACTCCCTAGCCTGTCATTTAAAAAATTTTCCATGAGCTGCTCTCACCTTAAATTTCAGTCCTTGCTGCTCCACTGGGAGCGTCTGATCTGGTGAGACTGGACAAGGAATTTTCCCTCATGCTTGGGGCAGCATCTTATCTTCCCACCACTTGCATCTGTCCATTCTTTGAGGGCAGTTGAAATGCCGCTTGCTCCCTGAGCCTGCAGGGCCAGTGCTCTCCTTTGACAGCACCCATGAGAGCCACCTGGCCAGGCTGTTGGGACATGTTCCTCACTCATCTCCCTTCTCCATCAGTGGCCTTCAGGGAAAACTATAGCAGTGTGGGAACCCCACCTGTGGTGGTGACACAGGCCCCATGACCCAGGGCCCTTCAGTGGATGGGGACAGGTCCCTGATCTCAGGGCTGCAGGTTACCTAGCTGGGTCCTGCCCTGCCCCCTTTAGAAACCATGCTCCCAGACAAGACCCCATCCAGGGTGGAAGAGCAGCCCAGCCCCGCCCTGCAGCTGCACTCACTCCCAGCTGTTCCAGGGCCTGTGCAAAGCAATTGCCTCCTGAGCCCGGGCTGCAGCTGCAAGCACACATGTAGGAGGAAGGGAGGCGGGGGCCAAGCAGCAGATGAGGCTGCAGCCTGCAATTACAGTGGGCCAGTGGGCCAGCTCAAGTATGGCTGGGCAGAGGAGGCGAGGCTGGGGGCTGATGTGGTTCTCGTGTCTCTTGGCCTAAGAACTTACATCTGGGCGCTGAGGGAAAGGGCAGTGCCACAGGGGCACAGAGCGGGTGTCCCAGGGGCTGGGAATTTATGCCGCTGCTAGGGTGGAGGCTTGGGTCCCACTGTCTGTAGGATGTGGGAAGGGCTGAGTGTGGATGGGGCCCACACTTGTGACGCTTCCTGAATGTCTGCATTGCACACTAAGCTCTTGCATCCAGCCCTGGACTCAGGCGTTCAGAAGAAGCTTCCACAGTGGCACTGGGCCTGAGGAGTCAGGAGCCCATCCCTGGTGCTCAGCAGCCCCCGGGTCCTTCCGCGTGGTGACCCTTGGTGACTGAGGCCTGAGGTTCAAGGCAGTCAGGGTTCTCATGGGCAGGCTGCAGCTGCTGCTGTACTGCCGGGCCAAGGGGCAGCTCCATCGCATCCCCCAATATGGAGACACCATCTTCACATAAAATCACACTCAGAGGCTCTGAGCAGATGTGAATTTGGGAAACACTTCAGCTGAGGACAAACACCAACTTCAGGAGGGGCAGCTTCCTGGGGCAGCCCAGCTTGACTCACATCAAGGCCTGGCAGACCCAGGGGGCACATTCCACCTCTGTGCAGTGGGGGCTCAGGCAACTTCCTTGGGGAGTCTCTGACCTGGGTTCTCCTGTGCCTGGGACCAGTCAAGGAAGGAGCTGCTCCCTGTCCTTGGAAAGGGTGCGCTAGGCCATAGCATGGGGCCTGGTGCTGGCAGGGGAGGGTTTCAGAGCCAGAGGAATGTGTGTGGGCTGAAGGTGGCAGCGCTGGGATGGCGAAGGGTCCAGCAGGGAGCATAGGGTTGGGGGACGTGGGTGCCAAGGCCCAGAAGCCAGGAGGAGGCAGGAGGGACAGCATTGTGCCTAGAACCTGGGAAGAGACAGAGGGGATCCCCAAGGTGGGTCCCCAGTTTAAAGTCGCAGGTGCCCTCTGCTGTGGCCACAGATGGCCAGGGAATAGGAAAACCCCACAGTGGAGTTGGCCCAGGCAGGGCTGAACACCCATTGGGAGCACCCCAAGTGCAGGGTGGGCGACTGGGAGCTGGCCTGGGGGTACAGCTGCTGCCCGGCTGACTAAAATTCACCAGTGGTTGCCGTGGTTCAGATGTCCCTCTCATGGCCATGACTGGGGGACACAGTGGAGAATGGGCACAGGCTCCCAGGTCAGTGAGGACAGTGCAGGTGTCGGGGACTTGAGGGAGGGGAGTAGCACTGGGCAGGCCCCTGGCCAAGCCTGGATGACGGGGCAGGAAGAAGGGCAGGGAGTACCATGTGCCCGGCCGTGCACTGTGGACACGGGGGCTTCCCTGCTCCCGTCCTGGTGGCCAGAGTGAGGATGTTCTGTGCTTCTTCAAGGACATCAACCGCCTCCCCTTCCTGGGACCTTGGACAAGGTGCACTGTCCAGGTTCCCCCCACCGGCCTCACAGGGTCTGGTGAGTACGGCAGTGGGACAGGGCCACTCTTGGCCCAGGCTGCAGTGAGCACTCAGCCAACCTGGCCACAGTCTGGTCACTGGGGACCTGGTGTCTGCTGCCCACAGGCCTAAGGACCCCAACACCCGTCCCAGCCCAGGCTCCCCAAGGCTGGGCAGATGAGGGTGAGAGGCCCCTGTTCGCTGGGACCCATTCTTGACAGGCTGGGCTGGGCTGTGCAGGGGCACACCCGCTCTGGGGGGATGTGGGGTGGGGACACTTCTGGGCCTGGTTCTGTTGGCCCCAAGGACAGACATGGCATCCCTGGCAACAGCTACACCAGAGGCTCAGGAGCCAGGAGACAGAGCCCAGGCCGGCTGGGCCCCTACTAGGGATGAGTTACAGGGGCTGCAGATGCAGAGGGACTCTCTGGGGGGGTCAGCACCAGGGAACAGACAGAGGCTGCAGTCCCCCCGCCCCAGGCTGGGACAGAGGATGAGCCAGCCCCCACCCTTCCCCACCCAGCATTCCCCAGGGGCTGCTGTCACCCTGCACACAAGAAGCTGTCCCAGGCTGTCACCATCTGACACTGCCCAGGCTCTCCCCTCGGAATCCCTGATTAGCAACTATGGCCACCCTAGTCCCTCCCACTAACCTTGGGCAGAGCACAGGGACCCTGATCTCATCTCCACTGCTGCCACCTCCACCCCCAGTATGGTGCATAACTGGGCTGGGAGGGGGATCCCAGGACGGTGCACGCTTGGGGAGCCCCGGCACCCAGGCAGTGGGAGGCCAGGGAGGAGCCGTCCCTCTGGGCATAGCACGGTCACTGCAGACCATGGGTCGGCCTCAGCGCTGAGGACCCACCAGCACACAGGAGGCGCTCAGTAAATGCTGGAGGAGTAAGTGACGGTCCACGTGGTGTGAAACTCCTGTGCCCTGGAGCCCTACCCAGACTCCAGCACCGTGACGTTTATTTCTCCCACCCCAAGCCCCCCTCAGTGACACCCTGGGACCCTTAACAAATGCCTTTTTCTTCCAGGGTCCATCTGGACCTCAGGGCCCTCTAGGATACCCAGGACCTCCAGGTGTCAAGGTAACTGACCTCCAGGCTGGGGATAAAGGACTGTGTTGAAGGGAGCGAGATGGGGTCTCAGGAGCTCACTCCTTCCAACCCACCTCCATCCCCTGGCCACTCTGTCATCCTCTAATTTCAGGGTGCAGATGGAAATCGGGGTCTGAAGGGCCATAAGATGCAAAGGTGAGCAGAATTTCCCAGCACCTCACTCCTGCCATTGCCGCTCCTCAGCCTGCCCCTGGCTGCCCTCCAGCTCCTGATCCCACCCTTCCACCCATGTTCTCAGAATCCTCCATTAGAGCCCCCGGCCCTCTGTCATCTGTGGGGTCATCTCACCTCCACCTTTCTCAGGGGATGGCTTTCTGAGGTTCAAAGGTGACGTAGATGTGAAAGGTGTCAGGCTGAGTAGAGACCCCACACTGGCCCCAACTCCATGTCCTAATGATTCTCCACTCTGGAGCCCCCAAGCACCGGTTCATTCCATGGAGGCCCCGGGTTCCTCAATTCCAGTGCTGTGCATCCTTGGGGGCCTGGTCCCTGCAGGACAGCAAACCCATGATCTGCATCGCGCTGGCCCTGGATCACCACACTCTCTATACCCCACAGGCTCCCTCTCCTGCAACAGCTACTGGGATCCGCCAGCCCCACTCGGCCTCACTGGTGCCCCTTTCTCCTCTGGGCCCAGACCTCATCCCCAGGCCTCCACGCTTACCTCTCCCACTCTCTCACTCATGGTGAGGCTGGAGCCCTGGTTCCAGAGGAGAGGATGGTCCCAAGGAGCAAAAGGAAACAATGAACTGACTAGAGATCCTGGGCTTCCCAGGGCTCACAGGCAAGATGATGATGGGAAGAGAGGTCTGTGCCTGGACCCTCTAGGGATGTGGGCACTAGGTCAGGACGGGCATGCAGGGTGCCCACAGCTGACATCAGCCAGTCAATTGAAGATGGCCGTGCCTTAATTATGCTCCTCTCTCTGTAAACGGCACCTGCTGGCTGCTGATGGGTTGAGGAACCTATAGGAAAAGTCAAGGAAAAGCCACTGTGTGAAGAGTTGATTGGAGATGAGGCACAGAGTGGCTGCAGGTCCCAGGCAAAGTGAACATGCCCAGGCTCAGAGCAGTAGCTTCGAAAAGGGAGTGTCCAACAGCAGTGAGACTTGTGGTCTCCAGGGCTGACTCCCCCCAGCCCTCGCCATGTGCAGGCACTGTGCTAAGGTGTTCTCTCCATCCTGTTAGGTGGGCGTGGATGGTCCTGTTTTGCAGATGAGACTCTCCAGAGGCACAGGAAGGCTTGGTCATCACACCAGCAGTGATGGGCAGGCCAGGGGCTGAGTCAGGGCAGTCTGGCTGCAGAATTGCTGCTCCCAACCCTTGCTCCACAGCATCCTGGGCAGGAGGAGCCCTGGAACATCAGGAGGAAGGGGACAGGTTGGGGAGTTGGGGTGTTGTGCCACGTGGGCAAAGGGCAGGGGGCCTGCAGGGTGACTGATCTTGGTGGATGGAGCAGGAGTGGGTGCTGGGACAGATGGTACTGAGGTCGGCAGGTGGGCTGCAGCTGGATCACAGTGACCCTGAGGACTTGACAGGGCTGCAGGCACAGGAAAGCAGGATCCCAGCACTAGAGTTGGGGAAAATTCACCCTCTGGAAGGAGATACTGCAAAAGGCAGCCATGGGGCAGGAGAGAAGGGGCTAGGAGCTGGGGTGTGTGGGTGCACTGGGGGATGGGGCATGGCCCTCACATGTGAGGGTCGGGGTCTCCAGAAAGTAGCACCAGGGCCTCCTCTCACTCCTAATTGCTCCCTGTCCCTCCACAGGGCAAGCTGGGTGTTCCTGGTCTGCCTGGCTACCCCGGATGCCAGGAACTCAGGGTGACACCGGGTGTGTGCCCCTCCTCCTTTTCACTTCCCTGACTTCGATTCCAGGGAGCACAGACTAGCAGAGCAGTGGGGGGCCCTCAAGAGTGTTTAGCGGCCCCCAATCTACAGATGAGAGAGAGGCCGAGAGCAGCAGGGGTTTGTCCCAGGCCACCTCATTTGTGGCAGGATCCAGGTCTCCATGCCGCTGCCTGCATGGCCTCTGCTGGCCCCCTCTGCTCCTTCCCGAGCCTGACCTCTCATAACTTCTCAATTTCCCCGCTTCTCCTTCCTCACCAGGGACTCCTGGGATTTCCTGGCTTTCCTGGAGTCAGTGGGGAGAACGGAGCCTGAGGAAGCTGGGGATAGGGAGAAGGTGTGGAGGGAAAGGCTGGAGGGGTGTGGGGGGGGCTCTGTGGGGAGGCACGCCCCGGGGGATGTCCACTCCATTCCCACCAGGGCCTGTCAAGGAAGTCAGGGCCTCGAGGAGAATGGGGCCTCATGGCAAGTGCAAGGGAGAGAAACAGGGGGCTCAAGGTCCAAATGGGTTTGGGTTTTTCTGACAACAACACTCCCCTCTCTAGGGTCCACAGGGTCAGCCGGGTCCTTGAGGTGCCACTGGGAAGTCTGGAGCTAAGGTCAGTGGTCTCTGCAGGGCTCCCCCTGACCCCTGCCCACTGAGCCCCAGCTCTCCCTCAACCACCTGACCTTGGGGACAACTGAGGAGCAGCTCCTCCCACTCTGTTTCCCCCATAGGGAACATCGGGGGCGAAGGCCTCCATGGGCCCCCCAGAGACAGGGTGTGTGTGGCATGAGTGTCCTCTCTCTCCATGCTCCCAGGGAGCCTGGGTGAGCCAGCTCCTTCCTCACCCCAGTGAGGACCCCAGCCCCTGCCCCCATTCTCCTGACTCAGCCCACCTCTGTCCCTAGGGTCTTCCTGATTAATGTGTCTGGTCCTCTGCCTCCCTTTCCCCAGGCCATAAACTCTAGTCTTGTCTCAGGGGCCAAGAGAAGCCCCTTTCCCCAGGAGGGCTTCACTGTCTCCCTGTAGTGACCTTGGAGCACTTATCCTGGCCTCTGCCCCAGAAATGGGCCCACCTCCCTAAGCAATGACGCCTATTTCTGCTCCTCCCTCAGGGCCCACAAAGCGCCCCAGGAGGCATTGGGAACCTGGGTCCCCCTGGAGAGATGGTCACTGGGAAGGGGGTGAATGGACAAGTATTTCAACTGAGGGATGAAAGTTGGTTTTCTGACAACTTTGATTGGGGAGACATAAAAGAATGAGATGTGAGGAATACCAGGATTTTCTGATGGGGCAAATAGGTTTTTGACATCAATCTCTTTGCAGGGGGAGCCAGGAGATTCAGGATCTCCAGGGATCCAGGGTGAGCCAGGTGTCAAGGAGACTGACAGCTCCAGGGCCCTACTTTCCAACCCCTTTCACCCCCCTCACTGCCCCCCACTTTTCCTGTGACCTCTTTGAGCTGGAGCTCCTCTGTGGCCAGGAGTATCTGCTCTGGACCATACTCTCAATAAGCCCTTCCCCTCTTACCTCCAAGGGAAAGAGACCAGGGTCTCCCCTTATAGGCTGGACTTTCTGTGTCTGTCACATTGTCCCTGAGGGAAGTAGGGGGTGGCTGAAGGTGTCTTTGAAGCAGAGGCTGCATCCCTGATCTTCAAGAACCCCCAGACCATCTGTGCCCTTCACTTGTTCTGCAGCACCCATGTGGGGAGCATGGGGAGAATACAGTAGAGTTGGGGCAGCTGGGAGAGGCAGGACCACCAGGGCCTTAAAGGACACTGGGGTCAGGTGACCGCCCCAAAGGGAACCCTGCAATTTCGGGGGCATGGAGGCTGAGGCTTCTCAGCCCTTGCGAATGACAGCCCTGGGATCATGGGTGACTGTGAGCAAGGATCTTGGAGTGTGGGGAGCCCAGGAGTGGGGGGATGCCTGGGAGGGAGGCTCTGGGAATGGGATCTCCTGGGAGGATTCTTGGGGTCTGGGACCCAAAGAGAAAGTGAGAAAGGCCCTGTGGCTAATACCCTAAAGCATTAGATGGCATTCAGTGAGTGCATGAAGTGGAGAGGGGGCACTTCGATAAAATCACTTTTCACCCTTCCTATGCAATCAAAGATATCCTAGGTTTAATTTTTCTCCTCCTCCTTTTAATAATGCTAGTACTATCTTCACTTGACCTCCTGAGTGACCTAGATAATTATGCCTTAGCCAACCCCTCAAAATAGTCATCTACTTTATTTTATGATCAGGATGAGCAACCTATTCAAACTATGACTAATCGGCACATTACAAGCCATCGCCTAATTTCATATGAAGTTACCCTAGCCATCAGCCTATTATCAGTTCTACTGATAAGCAGCTTATCAGGGGAAATTCAGCCAGATATCGGGTGAAATTCACCCCCGATATTTCACATAGGTTCTTTTCTATTTTCCCTAAGTGTTGGCTGGTCTGAGAAATAAAGGGACAGAGTACAAAAGAGAGAAATTTTAAAGCTGGGTGTCAAGGGGAGACATCACATGTTGGCATGTTCCGTGATGCCCCCCGAGCCACAAAACCAGCAAGTTTTTCTTAGTAATTTTCAAAAGGGGAGGGAGTGTTCGAATAAGGTGTGCGTCACAGAGATCACATGCTTCACAAGGTAATAGAATATCACAAGGCAAATGGAGGCAGGGCAAGATCACAGGACCACAGGATCAGGGCGAAATTAAAATTACTAATGAAGTTTCGGGCACGCATTGTCATTGATAACATCTTATCAGGAAACAGGGTTTGAGAGCAGACAACCGGTCTGGCCAAAATTTATTAGGCGGGAATTTCCTCATCCTAATAAGCCTGGGAGCGCTACAGGAGACTGGGGCTTATTTCATCCCACAGCTGTGACCGTAAAAGATGGCTGCCCCCAAAGCGGCCATTTTAGAGGCCTACCCTCAGGGATGCATTCTCTTTCTCAGGGATGTTCCTTGCTGAGAAAAAGAATTCAGTGATATTTCTCCCATTTGCTTTTGAAAGAAGAGAAATATGGCTCTGTTCCGCCTGGCTCATTGGCAGAGTTTAAGGTTATCTCTCTTGTTCCCTGAACATTGCTGTTATCCTGTTCTTTTTTCAAGGTGCCCAGATTTCATATTGTTCAAACACACATGTTCTACAAACAATTTGTGCAGTTAACGCAATCATCACAGGGTCCTGAGGCGACATACATCCTCCTCAGCTTACGAAGATGACGGGATTAAGAGATTAAACTAAAGACAGGCATAGGAAATCACAAGGATATTAATTGGGGAAGTGATAAGTGTCCATGAAATCTTCACAATTTATGTTCAGAGACTGTAGTAAAGACAGGCGTAAGAAATTATAAAAGTACTAATTTGGGGAACTAATAAATGTCCATGAAATCTTCACAATCCACGTTCTTCTACCATGGCTTCAGCCGGTCCCTCCATTCGGGGTCCCTGACTTCCCCCAACAGCAGCTCATTCAATTTATATATACTTATCACAACACAAGAATCCCTCTGGCTACTCCTACCATCATGACCCCTAGCCATAATATTTATTTCTGCATTAGCAGAAACTAACCGAGCCCCTTTTGACCTAACAGAAGGAGAATCAGAGTTAGTCTCAGGTTTCAACATCAAATATGCCACAGGTCCATTTGCCCTCTTCTTTATAGCAGAATACATGAATATTATAATAATAAATTCCCTAACTACTACAATTTTCCTAGGAACAATTACACTCTATGTATTCACCAGAACTCTATACTACATATTTCATTACCAAGACCCTCCTCTTAACCTCCCTATTTTTATGAATTCGAACAGCTTATCCCCAATTCTGCTATGATTAACTTATACATCTCTTATGAAAAAACTTTCTACCACTTACACTAGCATTCTGTGTATGATACATCTCAATACCCATCATAATCTCCAGCATCCCACCCCAAACGTAAGAAACATGTCTGACAAAAGAATTACTTTGACAGAATAAACAACAGAGGTTGAAATCCTCATATTTCTAGGACTATAGGAATTGAACCCATCCCTGAGAATCCAAAATTCTCCATGCTACCTATCACACCACGTCCTAAAGTAAGGTCAGCTAAATAAGCTATCAGGCCCATATCCCAAAAATGTTGGTTACATCCTTCCCATACTAATTAACCTATTAGCTCAGCTTATCATCTACTTTACTATTTCTACAGGTACCCTTATCACAATGCTAGCCTCACACTGATTTTTCATCTGAACAGGCTTAGAAAGAAATATACTAGCCCTCGCCCCAATCTTAATTAAAAAATAAATCCCCGCTCCACAGAAGCAGCCACTAAATATTTCCTTATACAGGCAACCACATCTATAGTCCTCATAATCGGTATTCTCTCCAATAATCTGTTATCTGGACAGTGAACAACAATAAATACTGTTAATCAGTTTTCATCCCTAATAATAATAATAGCCTTAGTAATAAAATTAGGAATAACCCCCTTTCACTTCTGAGTTCCAGAAGTAACCCAAGGAACTTCTCTAACATCTGGCATACTTCTCCTCACGTGACAAAAACTAACCCCTATTTCAATTCAATTCAATCAAATTTTTCCATCAATAAATACAAATATTCTCCTATCTATCTATTTTAGTGGGCAGTTGAGGAGGACTCAACCAAACACAACCATGTAAAATTTTAGCCTACTCCTCAACCACTCATATAGACTGAATAATAGCAGTACTAATGTATAACCCAAACATTACCATTTTTACCCTAATTATCTATTTCATCCCAACAATTGCTGCATTCCAAGTACTCAACCTGAATTCAAGCACCACAACCTTATCACTATCTCACATTTAAAACAAATTAACATGATTAATATCTATAATCCTATCAATTTTATTATCCCTAGGATGTTTACCCCCATTAACAGGATTCCTACCTAAATGAATTATTATCCAAGAGTTTACAAAAAATAAGTCTTATTATCCCAACCATCATAGCCATCATAACTTTACTCAACCTATATTTTTATATATGCTTAATTTACTCCACTTCAGTGACAATATTCCCCACATCCAATAATATAAAAAGAAAATGACAGTTCGAAAACACAAAACCCGTATTATTCCTCCCCCCACTCATCATCTTCTCTACCTTCCTCCTACCAATATCTCCATTGACACTATTTATAATCTAGAAACGGAGGTTAAGTAAGACCAAGAGCCTTCGAAGCTCTTAGCAAGTACATTATACTGAAGTTCTGCAAAAACCTAAGGACTGTAAAATTCTACTCTGTATCAATTGAACGCAAATCAATCACTTTAATTAAGCTAAGCCCTTACTAGATTGATGGGACTTAAACCCACGAACATTTAATTAACAGATAAACACCCTAATCAACTGGCTTCAATCTACTTCTCCTGCCATTGGGGGAGAAAGGTGGGAGAAGCCCCGGCAGGATTGAAGCTGCTTCTTTGAATTTGCAATTCAACATGAAAATCACCTCGGGGCTGGTAAAAAGAGGTCTTGATCTCTGTTTTTAGATTACAGTCTAATGCTTACTCAGCCATTTTACCTTTTTCTCACTTCACTTATGTTCACCAACTGTTGACTGTTCTCAGCCAACTATAAAGATACCGGGATATTCTATCTACTATTCAGTGCATGAGCAGGGATAGTGGGTCCAGATTTAAGCCTCCTTATTCAAGCTGAACTGGGCCAACCAGGTACTCTTTTAGGAGATGATCAAATTTATAATGTCATCATTACAGCTCATGCATTTGTCATAATTTTCTTTATAGTAATGCCAATTATAATTGGAGGCTTCGGCAACTGATTAGTTCCTCTGATAATTGCCCCCCCAATATAGCATTTCCCTGCATAAATAGTAGGAGTTTCCGACTCCTCTCACCCTCTTTCCTACTATTATTTGCATCCGCTATAGTAGAGGCAGGCGCTGGAACCGGCTGAACAGTCTACCCCCACCCCCCCACCCCTTAGCAGGAAATCTAACACATGCGGGAGCCTCTGTAGATTTAACCATCTTTTCACTCCATTTGGCAGGTGTTTCTTCTATTTTAGGGCTATTAACTTTATTACCACAATTATTAATATAAACCCCCAGCCATGTCCCAATATCACACACTCCTCTTCATCTGATCAGTCTTAATTACAGCAGTTCTTCTACTCCTTTCTCTCCCAGTCCTAGCTGCTGGCATTACTATATTGTTAACTGACCGCAATCTTAATACTACTTTTTTTCGACCCAGCTAGTGGAGGTGATCCTATCTTATATCAGCATTTATTCTGATTCTTCGGTCACCCCGAAGTCTCTCTCATCTTACCAGGCTTCGGATAATTTCCCATATCATAACATATTATTCTGGAAAAAAAAAGAACCATTTGGGTATATGGGCATAGTATGAGCCATAATATCAATTGGCTTCTTAGGGTTTATCGTATGGGCCCACCACATATTTACAGTAGGAATAGATGTAGATACATGAGCATATTTCACCTCTGCTACTATAATTATTGCTATTCCTACTGGTGTCAAAGTCTTTAGCTGGCTAGCTACACTTCACAGCAGTAGTATCAAATGATCCCCCACAATGCTCTGAGCCCTGGGATTTATTTTCCTTTTTACAACAGGAGGCCTAACCGGCATCGTACTAGCCAATTCATCACTGGATATTGTACTACATGATATTATGCTGTAGCCCATTTCCATTATGTCTTATCAAAAGGAGCCATATTTGCCATTATGGGAGGCTTTGTTCACTGATTCCCTCTATTTTCAGGTTATACTCAATCAAATCTATGCTAAAACTCACTTTGCTATTATATTTGTAAGTGCGAATTTAACTTTTTTCCCACAACACTTCTTCGGCCTATCTGGTATGCCTTGACGTTACTCCAGTTATCCTGACGTGTACACCGCATGAAATATTATTTCATCCTAGGCTCATTTATTTCCCTAACAGCAGTAATACTAATAATTTTCATGGTCTGAGAAGCCTTCACTTCAAAATGAAAAGTTCTAATAGTTGAGCAACCATCTACCCACTTAGAATGACTATATGGCTGTCCACCAACCCATCACACATTCGAAGAACCAACCTACATGAAGACCTAAGTGAAAAAGGAGGGAATTGAACCCCCCACAGACTGGTTTCAAGCCAATCCCATAACCTCTGTGACCTTCTCAATAAGATATTAGTGAAATTATTTCATAACTTTGTCAAAGTTAAGTTATAGGTTAAGCCGTATATATCTTAATGGCCCATACAGTTCAATTAGGTCTTCAAGATGCTTCATTTGCTATTACAGAATAACTACTTACCTTCCATGACCACACCCTTGTCATTGTTTTCCTAATTAGTTCCCTGGTTCTATACGTTATTTCTCTAATACTCACAATAAAATTGACTAACAATAGCACCATAGATGCCCAAGAAATAGAGACTGTCTGAATGATCTTGCCTGCTAGCATCTTAATCTTAACTGCCCTCCCATCCCTACGTATGTAATATACAACAGATGAAGTCAATAAGCCTTCTCTCACCGTTAAAACAATCGGACATCAATGGTATTGAAGCTACTAGTGTACAGATTATGAAGAGTTAAGCTTCTATTCTTATATGCTTCCAACAGCAGACCTAAAACCAAAAGAACTCCGACTCCTTGAAGTCGATAACCGAACAATCCTCCCAATAGAAATTCCCATCCGCATGTTAACCTCATCTGAAGATGTCCTGCACTCATGAACTATTCCCTCATTAGGTTTAAAAACAGATGCAGTCCCTGGACGCTTAAACCAATTTACCTTAACCACTACACGACCAGGCTTCAACTACAGACAATGCTCAGAAATCTGTGGATCTAATCACGGTTTTATACCTATTGTTCTAGAACTAGTTCCATTAAAAACTTTTGAAACTTGATCTATAGCCACACGATAATATCACTGTAAAATTACCCCAGTGTTAACCTTTTAAGTTAAAGATCGAGAGAAATCATACCTCTCTAGAGTGAATGCCTCAGCTAGATACCTCCACATGACCTATTATTGTATCAATAATCGTAACTTTATTTTCCATTATTCAATTAAAAATTTCAAATTTCATCTACCATACACCCCCTTCACCAAAAACAGTTAAAGTACAAAAACATAACAACCCTTGAGAACTAAAATGAACAAAAATCTGTTCACCTCATTTATCGCCCCAACAATCCTAGGGTTACCCACAGCAGCACTAATCATCTTGTTCCCCTCCACACTCCTTCCAACCTCCAACTATCTAGTCAATAACTGATTAATTTCTATTCAACAATGACTAGTTCAACTTATCCTAAAACAAATAATTATACGTAACATTAAAGGACAAGCCCGATCCCTTATACTGATATCTCTAATTCTCTTTATTGCCTTAACCAATCTCCTTGGACTCCTACCAGACTCATTTACACCAACTACCCAACCATCAATAAATCTAGCTACAGCAATCCCCTTATGAGCAGGCACAGTAATCACGGGCTTCCGCTTTAAAACTAAAAACTCCTTAGCTCACTTCCTACCACAAGGCACACGCATACCACTTATTCCTATACCAGTATTCACCGAAACCATTAGTCTATTTATTCAACCAACAGCACTAGCTGTACGTCTAACAGCCAACCTTACAGCCAGTCACTTACTCATGCGCTTAATTGGAGGAGCCACACTAGTATTATCAACTACTAACCTTCCCACAGCTTCAATCACCTTTATTATTCTAATTCTATTAACCATGCTCCAATCTGCTGTGGCCCTTATCCAAGCTTATGTCTTTACGCTTTTAGTAAGCCTTTATTTCTATGACAATACATAATGACCCACCAAACACACACCTATCATTTAGTCAAACCCAGCCCTTGACCATTAACAGGGGCTCTCTCAGCTCTCCTAATAACATCCGCCCTAGCTATATGACTTCACTTTAACTCTATTACTCTTTTAACCCTGGGCCTACTAACCAATACACTGACTATATATCAATGGTGATGTGACATTATCCGAGAAAGTACATTTCCAGGCCATGATACAACAACTGTTCAAAAAGGCCTCCGATGTGGAATAGTCGTATTTGTTATCTCAGAAGTATTTGTCTTTGCTGGATTCTTTTGAGCATTCTACCATTCTAGTCTAGCCCCAGCTCCAGAATTAGGAGGACACTGATCTCCAACAAGCATTTCTCCCCTCGACCCCCTGGAAGTACCCCTCCTGAACACATCTGTATTACTTGCATCAGGGGTTTCAATTACTTGAGCCCATCACAGCATAATAGAAAATAATCGAAAACAAGTAATTCAAGCACTACTTTTCACAATTATCTTAGGCATTTGCTTCACCCTCCTACAAGTCTCAGAATACTTAGAGGCTCCCTTTGCTATTTCTGATGGAATTTATGGCCCAACATTTTTTATAGCTACAGGCTTTTATGGACTTCACATCATTATTGGATCAACTTTCCTTACTATCTGTCTTCTCTGCCAGTTAAAATACCACTTTACATCCAGCCATCATTTTGGCTTTGAAGCCACCGCCTGATATTGACACTATGTAGATGTAGTATGACTATTCTCATATATTTCTATCTACTGATGAGGGTCTTACTCTTTTAGTATAAACAGTACCATTGACTTCCAATCAATTAGTTTCGATAGTATCTGAAAAAGAGTAATTAACCTAACACTAGCCCTAGTAATCAACACCCTACTAGCCCTGTCACTTACAGCTATTACATTCTGGCTCCCACAACTTAATATTTATACAGAAAAATCCAGCCCCTACAAATGCGGATTTGACTCATTATCCTCTGCCCTCATTCCTTTCTCCACAAAATCATTTCTAGTAGCCATCACATTCCTCCTATTTGACTTAGAAATCGCCCTACTACTACCCTTACCATGAGCCCTTCAAACAACCTGACACTAATAATTAGTACATCCCTTATGCTAGTTATCATTTTAATCCTAGGGTTAACTTATGAATGAACTCAAAAAGGATTAGACTGAACTGAATTGGTAAGTAGTTTAAGCCAAAATAAATGATTTTGACTCATTAGTTATGATAGAACATGTTTACCAAATGCCCTCTATTTACATAAATATTATATTCACATACACCATGTCACTTCTGGGGGTATTAATCTATCCATCCCACCTAATATCATCCCTACTATGCCTACAAGGAATAATATTATCATTATTCATCATAAATACCCTTTTAACTTTAAATATACATTTTACCCTAGCAACCGTAGTACCCATCACCCTACTAGTATCTGCTGCCTGCGAAGCCGCAGTGGGCCTTGCCTTACTAGTTTCAATTTCCAACACATATGGCTTAAACTATGTGCATAACCTAAATTTACTTCGACGGTAAAAATTATCATTCCAACAATTATACTGCTACCAATAACATGACTCTCTGATAATCCTATACTCTGGATCAATATAACCACTCACAGCCTAATTATCAGCTTTATTTCCCTATTATTCTTTAATCAATTCAACGACAATCTATTCAACTTCTCATCAACTTTTCTCCTCTGATCCCCTAACATCACCCCTTCTAATCTTAACAGCCTGGCCATTAACTCTTATAATTATAGCAAGCCAGTATCACCTCTCCAGTGAATCCCTCCCACAGAAAAAGCTCTATATTTCCATATTGATCTCCCTACAAGTTTTTCTAATTATGGCATTTACAGCCACGGAACTAATTATATTTTATATTCTCTTTGAAGCTACACTTATCCCCACCTTAATTATTATTACCCGCTGGGGCAACCAACCAGAATGCCTCAATGCAAGCACATATTTCTTACCTTACAAACTAGTAGGATCTCTCCCCCTACTTATTATACTTACTTACACCCAAAATATCCTAGGCTCACTGAGCATAATAATAATAACATTTTTTAATACCCAAGAACTATTGATTTCCTGATCTGACAACTTTATATGGTGTGTATAATGGCTTTTATGGTAAAAATACCCCTATACGGACTTCACCTATGACTTCCTAAAGCCCATGTAGAAACCCCTATTGCTGGCTCAATGGTACTTGCAGCAGGACTCCTAAAAACTAGGCAGCTACGGCATAACACGACTTAACCCTTATCCTCAGCCCCCTGACAGAATATATAGTCTATCCCTTCCTCACGTTATCCTTATGAGGTATAGTTATGACAAGCTCTATCTGTCTATGACAAACTGAGCTAAAGTCACTTATTGCATATTCCTCCGTAAGCCATATGGCACTTGTTATTATGGCTATCCTTATTCAAATCCCCTGAAGCTTTATCTTGCTATTATCCTCATAATTGCCCACGGACTTACTTCGTCCCTACTTTTCTGCCTAGCAAATTCAAACTACAAGCGAATCCACAGCCGAACCATATTACTCTCTCGAGGGCTTCAAACATTATTTCCACTAATAGCCTTTTGATGGCTTATAGCAAATCTTACTAACCCTGCCTTACCCCCCTCCACTAATCTAATAGGAGAACTCCTCATAATAGTGGCTTCTTTCTCCTGATCAAATATTACCATTATGCTTATAGGATGTAATATATTAATCACTGCCCTTTATCTCCATCACATACTTGTCACAACACAACGATGAACACTTACTTATTATATTAACAGTATTAAGCCCTCCTTTACATGAGAAAATATATTAATATTTATACACCTTTCACCTATTCTCCTATTATCTCTAAACCCTAAAATTATTATACAGTCTATACCCTACAAATACAGTTTAATCAAAATGTTAGATTGTGGATCTAATAATAGAAGTCTGCTGCTTCTTATTTACCAAGAAAGTGTGCAAGAACTGCTAACTCATGCCCCCATGCCTGACAACATGGCTTTCTCAACTTTTAGAGGATAAGAGCTCTCTGTTGGTCCTAGGAACCAAAAATATTGGTACAACTCCAAATAAAAGTAATAATCACGTATTACCATAATAACCTTAATCTCCTTAACCTTACCAATTATTATTACCTTCATAAACCCTTACAAGAAGAACTCGTACCCATATTACATAAAAATAGCTATCGCATGCACCTTCACCATTAGCCTCATTCCCACAACAATGTTTATATATACAGACCAATAACCCATCATCTCAAACTGATATTGAATAACAATCCAAACCTTTAAACGCTCATTAAGCTTCAAACTAGACTACTTCTCCATAATGTTTATTCCAGTAGCACTATTTGTCACCTGATTATAGAATTCTCAATATGATATATAAAGTCAGATCCTAATTTTGATCAGTTTTTCAAATATTTACTTATTTTCCACACCACAATATTAATTCTAGTTACCGCCAACAACTTTTTCAACTTTTTGTTGGATGAGAAGGCATAGGAATTGTGTCTTTTCTACTAACTGGCTGATGACATGGCTGAGCAGATGCTAATACAACAGCCCTGCAAGTGATCCTACATAATCGCATTGGCGATATTGGCTTCATTTTAGCTATAGCATGATTCCTCACATCCTCCAATACATGAGAGCCTCAACAAATATTTATCCTAAATCCTACCCCCGATCTTCTTCCATTAATTGGCCTTCTCTTAGCAGCAGCAGGAAAAACAGCCCAACTTGGCCTCCACTCCTCACTTCCTTCCGCCATGGAAGGCCCAGCCCCTGTCTCAGCCCTACTCCACTCTAGTAATATAGCTGTGGCAGGGGTTTTCCTACTTCTTCGTTTCTACTCCTTAATAGAAAATAATGTGTTAATCCAAACCCTTACACTATGTCTAGGAGCTATTACCACTTTTTTACAGCAATCTGTGCTTTAACACAAAATGATATTGAAAAAATCGTAGCACTCTCCACCTCAAGTCAACTAGGCCTTAGAATAACCACAATTGGCATTAATCAACCACACCTAGCATTCCTACACATCTGCACCCACGCCTTTTTCAAAGTTATATTATTTATGTGTTCAGGATCCATCATCCACAGCCTCAACGATGAACAAGACATCTGAAAAACAGGACTATTTAAGACTTTACCCCTTACTTTCTCCTCCCTTATTATTGGCAGCCTAGCACTTATGGGTATGCCCTTCCTCACAGGCTTTTACTCTAAAGATCTCATCATCGAAACTGCAAACACGTCATATACCAACGCCTGAGCCCTCTCTTATTATTTTCATTGCCACTTCCCTAACAAGCGTCTATAGTATCCAGATTATCTTCTTCGCCCTAATAGGACAACCCCACTTCCCAACCCTAATCAACATTAATGAAAATATTCCTTCCCTAATAAATCCAATTAAACACCTTATAGTTGACAGCATCTTCGCTGGGTTTCTCCTCACCAATAGCATTGTCCCTGCTTCATCCCTACAAACAACAATAGCACCTCATCTAAAACTTGCAGCCCTAGGTGTAAACATCCTAGGGCTTTTACTGGCTATAGAACTGAGTTCTATAACTAATAATCTTACAATAAAACACCCATTACAAATATTCAACTTTTCTAACATATTAGGATTTTACTCAATCACAATTCACTGTATAACCCCTCACTCAAGCCTATCTACAAGCCAAAACCTGGCATCACTTCTATTAGATCTAATTTGACTAGAAAAGTCCATACCAAAAACAACTTCACAAACCCAAATCACAGCCTCCGTTACTATAAGTACTCAAAAAGGCCTATTTAAATCTTATTTCCTCTTTTTTTATTCCATCCTTTTTGACTTTACTCTTAAGTATTTAATCTGTTGCCCTGAGTAATTTCAATTATAACATCAACACCAGCCAACAATGTTCAACCAGCAACCACCACCAATCAACACTCATAATTATAGAAAGCACCCGCACCCACAGAATCTTCACGAACCAACCCTGGCCCCTCACCCTCAAAAATTATTCAACTTCCCATACTATTAAAATTAACTACAATCACCAGTCCATCATACTCACTCATCAACTTAACACCAACTCTACTGCTAAACCCAATAATAACGTTTCTAAAACCACAATGCTTGATCCTCACTCCTCTGGATATTCCTTAATAGCCACCACCGCAGTATAGCCAAAAACAACCATCATCCCCTACAAGTAAATCAAAAAGACTATTAATCCCATAAAAGCCCCACCATAATTTAGTACAATAACGCAACCCATAGCACCACTAATAATTAACCCTAAGACCCCATAAATTGGAGGTTTAGAAGAAAAACCTACAAATCCCATAACCAAAAGAACACTTAATCAGAACAAAGCGTATGTCATTATTCCCACATGGATTATAACCATGACTAATGATAAGAAAAACCATTGTCATATTTCAACTATAAGAACACTAATGACCATAATACGTAAAACAAATCCACTAATAAAAATCATTAATTATTCACTCATCGACCTCCCCACTCCATCTCATATCTCTATATGATGAAACTTGGGCTGACTTCTTGGCACCTGCTTAATCCTTCAGATCATCACAGGGTTATATCTGGCCATACATTACACACCAGATACCTCAATTTCTTTCTCTTCAGTCGCCTATATTAACCGAGATGTGAACTACAGCTGAATTACCCGCTTTTTTCACGCTAACGGTACTTCAACATTCTTCATCTGCCTCTTCCTACATGTCGGCCGAGGCTTATATTATGGCTCATTCACATATTTGGAAACCTGAAACACTGGCATTATTCTCTTGCTTACAACCACAGCAACAGCGTTTATAGGCTATGTGCTTCCATGAGGCCAAATATCACTCTGAGGCGCCACAGTAACCACAAACCTAATATCAGCTACTCCATATGTCGGGACTGACCTTGCCCAGTGAATCTGAGGTGATTTTCAGTTGACAAAGCCACTCTTACACGATTCTTCACCTTCCATTTCATCTTACCTTTCATCATTATAGCCCTAACAATTCTCCACCACCTATTCCTTCACGAAACAGGGTCTAATAACCCCTCAGGAAATCTCATCACACTCCGATAAAAGAGACCCTCTTCCTAGGGAGGCGGTGTGGGGGATTGGTCAGAGTGGTGGGAAAAACTATAGGGAAAGGACACAAACCTTCTGAAAGGTCGGAAGTTTCTACAGAGCCCCAGGAGGAGAATAGCTGAAGGCAGCTGTTCTATAACCCTGAGGTAGAGGGCAAGGAGTAGCTACAAGGGAGTGTGGGGGAATTTTTCTTAAACAAGATTGTTCACTTACATCAACCAGGAACTGACCTTTGATCATCCGTGCGCCTGACGTTCCCTGAAAGGGGAACAATAAATGTTAATTACCTACAGGTTGTGTCGGCTCCAGGTTTTCACCATTGTGCCTGCACTGAATAAAAGCAAGCAGCTCCAGCTTCTCACAGCTGCTCTCTGGCCACTGGGGCTGGGCAGTCACCTAGCTGCCTTACACTGCATACCTGTGTCTGAGTACTCATTTCATCCATCAGCCAGGGTCTGTGGGACAGATCCGGCAAGGTGGCAGGCACTGTCTGTACAGAGGGAGAGGGTGGCATGTGCCTGTGGTAGTCTGTGTTGAGCGGGCTTAAGGGGCTGTGACCTTGATCCTTGTTCTCTCTTTGGATCAGGGTCTTGATTTTCCTGGAGACCCTGACCCCCCTGGAGAAGGTGACTTGGGTGTCTTAGGGAGGGGGAAGGGGAAAAGAGGGTGGGGCTTCTATGAGGAGCCTCCATGTGGCTAATGGGCTTGGGTACTGGGAAGCTGGAGATATGGCAGGACAGGCAGGGGGATGGGAGGATTGGCAGTTTTAGGGGTGATGCCAGCCAGGTTGGGGCCTCCTCTGGCCTTGCTTCACCCCTGCAGGGCCAGGACAGTGCTAAGGGTGACTGTGGCAAGGATGGCGAACCAGGACAATCTGTGAATGACCAGTGACCCCACCACCCCCACTGAGCCCCAGCCTTCAGCCCCTTAGCCCTCTTCTATACCCACGCCTGAGAGGTCCCTTGGCTGGAGGCCAAACACACACCCATCCCAGTTCTTCTCTTCCTAGGCATTCCCTGGTCCCACTGGGGAGAACAGACCCCCTGGGCCACTAGTCAAGTGGGTGAGTGAGGTGGGCTCTGGGACCCTGGGAGGCAGTCCCTGGGCCATGTGGTAGAGATTGGGCAATGGCTGGTGGGGCGGGCAGGGAGATGCCTGCTATCTGTGCTGTCCCTGATGTGTGCATGGGGCGGGGGGGCATGAGCACACGGGTTTATGAGTCTGTGACCTCCTGGGTATGTTGTTCCTGAGGTTTGGTGAACATGTTCTCAACAGCGGTGGTCATGTTTACTGACCAATCAATGGACACTGGTGGAGGGACGGGCCAGCTTTTCTGCTGGGCCAGAGGTTAACCTGGGCCACCAGGTGGGGTGTGGGCGACTGGCTCTTCCCCAAATGCACAGACGCCTCTGCATTTTCACAACAGGACCTCTGCATCTGTGTGTGTGTGCCATGTGTGTGCAATGTGTCTATAGTATGTGCATGTGTGCAGTGTGTGTGTGTGTGTGTGTGTGTGTGTAGCACAGAAAGGGGAAGACTGGCGCCTGGCTGCCTAGGCCTCATGTTCTCTCCCTTCCCGTCCCATTTGCAGGGTCTCACTGGCATGCCTGGTCCCCAGAGCCAATGAGGAGTAAAGCCCAGGTGAAAGAGAGGCTGCCCCTGGGTGCTGGAGCCTCCCCTCTGCCTTCCTGCCCCTCAGGTGCCTCGTCTCCAGATGTCTACCCACCCCCATCCATGTATCCCATGTTGACCCCTCCTGGGGATGGGGTTTCCTATAGTTATTGCTGCTCTGGGGCTCCCAGGCTTCGGGCCCTCCTCCCTGCCTCACCCCTTCCACTTTGAACCCCTGCTCCAATTCACATCCCCTCTGCTGCCTTTCAGGACACGTTCCTTGTGTGCATTTCAGGGCCTCCAGGTGCTGTGGGTGCCTTGGGTCCCACAGGCCCAGCTGGTGCTGATGGTCTGAGGGGCTCTGGGGTTCAGTGTGAGTCACTGCAGGCGAGGGCTGGGCTTGGGGAGGAGGGTGAAAAGCCCGGAGAGGAGTGCAATGTGGGGTGCTCCTCCTCATCCCTGGGGTCCCCTCAAATCTGCAGGGTCAGCAAGGCCGACCTGGAGCCACAGGCCAAGCTGGGCCTTCCAGTCCTGTGGTGAGTGACTGGGATGGGGCTGGTGAGGGGTGAGGGTGGGCGCCCTGAGGCAGCCAGCTAAGACCCTGCAGGAAGTGGGAGGCGATGGGAGAACCGAGTTACCGCCTCTCTCTGGAGAGAGGGACTTCCTGTCTCCCCAAAGGGACCCCCAGGGCTTCCTGGCTTTGGGAGCGATGCTGGAGCCGAGGAAGAGGTGAGTGACAAACACATGGCCAGGTGTGTCTCCCATCACCCTCAGCCCTGAAGCCTGTGGGACTCTGAGGGGCCTGCTCTGCTCCAGGCCCCCAGCCGCCAGGCCCCGGGGTCCCTGCTCAGTGAGGGCCACCCACAGACCCTGTGCCCAGGGCATTCTCTGTGTCTTGGCCTTTCTCCCCCATCCATGTGACTCCTCCTGTGTTCCCCGACCACCTGCTCCCTTCTCTAGGGGCCGCTCAGGTCTCACTGGACTGATTGGGCCCCCTGGAGGAGCAGGGAGAGAATGGGGATCAGGGTCTTCCTGGCCCTCAGGGCTCCCCTGAACAGAAAGGGAGAGGTGAGTACAGGGCCTGGTCCTGGAGGGTGGGGGGAGGGGTGGGGAGTGGGAGGATGGGGTTAAAACTCAGCTGTGGGTGAGGGAGCAGATGCTCTGGAGTTTGGGGGGAGGAGGGCCCAGTTGAGCCAGGTCCTTCCCTAGGGTACCCCAGGAGCATCCACCCCATTGGTCCTGGAGACTCCCTGGCCTCCCCGTGAGCACTGCTTCTGTTCCTGCACTAAATCCTGAACCCCACTGTTGCCTCCCTTGACTTCCAGTGTAACACGCCAAGTCCTCAGGGTCCCCATTTGTCCTCATGCCTCCAGTGCTTCCTCCCCACACTTCCAGAGCTCCAATGTCCCCAGATTTCCTCAGGCCTGCCCCTCCTGTGTAGGAACTCGAGGCTGCTGTGGACTTGGGACCTGGCCTCTGCACTCCTGAATCCTGTCTTTCCCCTGCCGTGACTGGCTCTTTCTTGTTCTTTGTGTCACAGGGACACTGGCTCAAAAGGAGCCAAAGGAGGCGCAGTGAGTGACCCCTGTTGGACTGGACACTGTCTCTTCAAGGCAAACAGACTCCCCCCAGGGAGCCCCTGATTCCCAACCAGGAGACTGACTTCACCCTTCTGTGACCTTAATCCCATGTGTGACATCTTGACCTCTCCATGACCTCATTTGTCCTCGCCCGACAGGAGAGGACCACAGCCCCAACCAGGGCTGTGCTTGGGAGGCCTTCTGGATTTTCTGCCACTTGGCAGCAACAGGGGAAGCTTGTGGGACCCCCTGGGATGATGCCACAGAGGTGCGAGCTGGTCTCTGGCTGCCCGTCCCTGCCCATAGTGCACCCCCTCAGGGCCCAGTGGTTTGGCGGTTGTGGAAATGGAGAGAAGCCTTTTGGAATTCATACTGGAGAAGGGATAAACAGGACTCAGTCATGGGTCGTTTAGGACACTGGGAGATACAGGATGAAGAAACTCTCCCAGAGTCTCAGACTAATTCATAAATTAAAATACAGGCTCCAGCTCTGGCACTGTGGCTCATGCCTGGAATCCACGTGCTTTGGGAAGCTGAGGCAGGAGGACAGCTTGAGACCAGAGTTGGAGGCCAGCCTGCGGACACAGCCAGGAAAAGAAAGTGGCTGCCAGAAGGTGCCCGACCGCCAGGCCCGAGGCACCCTGGAGGGATCCGCGGGGAGGGACCCGCAGACCGAGGAAGGCATGCAGCTGCCCCACAGGTGGCCCGGCCTCTTCCTGGCCCCCTCACGTACATGTGCAGAGACCGTTCCTTGTCTTCGGAAGGTGAACTTGGAACAATTCCCACGGGACACTGCGAATGACGGCGGCTGGGCTTGGGCTCCCCTCTCCGTCCTCAGAGCATGGCCAGGCCCATGGCTGCTGCTCTTTGCCCGAGAGCATGGGAGATTGCCCCAGGGGGCGCGCCCGGCAGGGCCCTGCTGTGCTACCTGGAACCAAGAGGCCTGGCCGCAGTCTCTGACCCCACTCCCGCAGGGGACTGCGCAGGACACAGATGCCGAGGCCGGCGTGGTGGCTACGCCTGTGGTCCCAGCTGCTCGGGTGAGGCGAGAGGAGCGCAGGAGCCTGGGAGGCCGAGGCTGCAGTGAGCCGAGAGGGCCACTGAGCCCCAGCCTCAGCGACACAGCTAGACCCTGTCAAGGAAAGGGGAAGGAAGGAAAGGGAAAGCAAAGAAAAGAAAACAAAAAAGCAGAAGCAAACGGGCAAGAGGCCAGCGTGTGGTCCCGGGCTGGCCTCAGTAGTAAAGATGCTCGGAGGATTGATTGATTTGCCGGATTCTGCGCGGTTTCCCAGCCTGTGCCTGGTTGCAGTGCCCTCCCTGTGGTCGCTGGCTGCCCGGACCCATACCCAGCCCCACGCCTGCCCTGCCCTCTTCCCAGCCAGAGTCACGTGAAAAGACCCGTGGAGGTACAGGAGGGCGGCCCTGTATCTGTCTCATCCCCCAAATACCTTGTCACTAGGACCACGTTGCCTGAGATGCCCATTCCATCTCTGTCCTTAAAGGCGTCACTTTTTTTTTTTTTTTTTGAGACGGAGTCTTGCTCTGTCTCCAGGCTGCAGTGCAGTGGCGCCATCTCGGCTCACTGCAACCTCCGCCTCCTGGGTTCAAGCGATTCCATTGCCTCAACCTCCCGAGTAGGTAGGACTACAGGTGTGTGCCACCTCGCCCAGCTAATTTTTTGAATTTTTAAGTACAGAGGGGGTTTCATCATGTTGGCCAGGATTGTCTCCATATCCTGACCTCGTGATCCACCCGTCTCAGCCTCCCAAAGTGTTAGGATTACAGGCGTGAGCCACTCGCCAGGCCAAGGCTTCACCTTTTAACAGGTCCTACTGGAAGCATGTTCAGGACTTTCATGTGGTCCTAAACTTCGTGAGGGAGAGTGAGAAACTGCCCCCCATCGCAGTGATGAGATTACCGCGTGGAGGTGACTTGGAGGTCCGCCCGCGCCCTGGGATGGAGCCTCGGCCAAGCTCCCGGGAAAGTACTTAAAAAGGCCACTAGCAAGCGCGCGATGAACGGCGCAAACACCTACGGGACGGCTCGAGATCGCAGGCTGGCGAGGGCCATCGCAGCTGCCACCCGCACGCCCGACACCGTCCGGGTCCACCTGGGATCGCCGTCCCGGCCCGGGTGGGCGGAGGGGCCCCGACACCACCCCAGAGCCCCAGCTTTGGAGCTCCCCAACGCCACAGCCAGGCACAGTGCGACCCCGGCAGCAGAGGGGGCACTTGGACCATTTGTTCATAGTCTGGGACCTCCGGTCCCACGAGAGCAGCTGCGAGAAGGCGACCGACTCCTCCTGCAGCTCCGGGGCCGCGCCTGCGGGGTCGCAGCTCCGGAGAGGACAGGGCCTTGCTCCAGGCGAGGAGGCCGGGGGCGCCTGGCCAGGACTTGCCCAACGGGTTCCTGGCAGGCATGGACCTGAAACCTGAAACCAAGAAAGGACTGCGAGAGAAAGTGGATGAGTCCCTTTTAACGCCACCATTTCCGAGTGCAGTTCTTTCTAAACCTTAAAACAAAGCCCAGAAGCCATCAAGGACATGGCTGAGAAGCTAACCACGGCATTCACACCAAATTTATCTTCTGCAGTGCGACCAAGCCAAAGGACAACAAATGGGTGTGGGCCGCAGTTGTGCAAATATTTGTATAAGAGCATCGATTTCAGGTGGGCTCAGTGGCTGCGCCTGTAATCCCAGTGCCTTGGGAGGCCGAGGCAGGAGGATCGCTTGAGGCCAGGAGTTGGAGACCAGCCTCAGCAACACAGTGAGATCCCATCTCTTAAAAAAAAAAGAAAGAATGTCGATTTCAGCATTACTTACCATAATAACAAAAAAAGAAAGAAAGAAGAAATAATAGGCATTAAGAGGGACCTACTTAAATAAATCCTAGTACATCCATACAACACAATACTATGAATTTATGGAGTTTTTAAAATAAGGTAAATGTTGATGAACTGTTAAATGAAATACTCTTTCGCCTCACTCATACAAACTAACTGCAAATGGGTCACACACTTAAATGTAAAACATGAAACTATAAAACTTTAAGGGAGAAATTCTAAAAGAAAAATGGGGGACCTAGAGCTGGATAAATATTTTAGGCTTGATACCAAAAGCATGACCCATAAAAATTTGGATAAATCAGAGTTCATCAAAACTTAAAACCTAGGTTCTGTGAAAGACTATCTTAAGAGGATTAAATGATAAAATACAAACCAGTAGAAAAGACAGACATTCCTGGGCGACATTTCAGGTTCTGTTCCAGACTACCACAATAAAAGCAAATAGGGAAATAAAGCCAGTTACACAAGCTTTTTGGTTTTCCAGTGCATACAAAAGTGGAGTTTACATATATTATAGTCTATTAAGTGTGCAATAGCATTGCCTCTAAAACAATGTACATTCCTTAATTTTAAAATACCTTATTGCTAGCCAGGTGCCATGACTCATGCCTGTAAATGTCACTTTGAGGGTTGAAGTGGGAGGATCACTTGAGCCTAGGAGTTCAAGACAGCTTGGGCAACATTGTGAGACCAAATCTCTACCAAAGAAAAGTTTCTTAAATTAGCTGAGCATGGTGGCACACGCCTGTAGTCCCAGCTACTCAAGAGGCTGAGGTGTGAGGATCACATTAGCCTAGGAGTTAGAGGCTGGTGTGATCTATGATTGAGCCACTGCACTACGGCCTGGGTGACAGAGCGAGACTCCATCTCAAAAAAAAAAAAAAAAAAAAAAAAAAAACACTAAATAAATATTGCTTAAAAATGCTATAGAAGATCTGAGCCTTCAGTGAGTCCTACATAATCTCTTTGCTTCCTTGATGCTGATGACTGCTGATTGATCAGGGTGGTGGTTCCTGAGTGACCAGCAATTTCTGAAAACAAGATTCATCAATTAAGTTTGCCACATTGAAGAACTATTCCTTTCACAAAAGACTTCTCTGCAGCATGCAGTGTTGTTTGATATTTTACCCACAGTAGAACTACTTTCAAAATCATCTCAAACCCTGCTGTGGCTTTGTCAAGTTTCTGTGCTATTCGGAGTCCTTTTTGTCATTTCAACCATGTGCATAGCATCTTCACCAGGAGTAGATTCCTTCTGAAGAAGTCACTTTCTTTCCTCATCCATAAGAAGCAACTCATCTATGCAAGTTTGATGCTGAGACTGCAGCAATTCAGTCCCATCTTCAGGCCTCACTTCTTCTTCTTCTTTTTTTTTTTTTTTTGAGATGGTGTCTTGCTCTGTCGCCCAGGCTGGAGTGCAGTGGCACAATTACGGCTCACTGCAACCTCCGCCTCTCAGGTTCAAGCGATTCTCCTGCCTCAGCCTCCTGGGTAGCTGGGACTACAGGTGTGTGCCACCATACCTGGCTAATTTTTTTTCAGTAGAGACAGGGTTTCACCGTGTTAGCCAGGATGGTCTCGATCTCCTGATCTCGTGATCCACCCACCTCGGCCTCTCAAAGTGCTGGGATTACAGGCCTGAGCCACCGCACCTGGCCACCTCACTTCTAATTCTAGTTCTCTTCCTATTTCCACCACATCCACAGTTACTTCCTCCACTGAAGTCCTGAACCTCTCAAAGTCACCCATGAGGGTTGGAATCCACTTCTTCCAAACTCCTGTGCATGTGGATATTTTGACCTCATCCCATGGATCACACATGTTCTAGATGTCTAACTACACCTAGAATGGTGATTCTTTTCTAGGTTTTGAATTTACTCTGCCCAGACCCATCAGAGGAATCACTATCTGTGGCAGCTATAGTCTTACAAAATGTATTTCTTAATAAGAATTCAAAGTCAGAATTACTCCTTGACCCATGGGCTACAGAATGGATGTTGTGTAAGCAGACATGTAAACAACATTCATCTCCTTGCACATCTCCATCAGAGCTCTTGGGTGACCAGGTGCATTGCCAATAAGCAGTAATATTCTGAAAGGAAGCTTTATTCCCGAGCAGGTCTCACAGTGGGCTTAAAGTGTTCAGCATATCATGCTGTAAGTAGATGTGCTGCCATCCAGGCTTTGATTTTCCATTTGTAGAGCACAGGAAGAGTGGGTTTAGCATAATTTTTAAGGCCCTGGGGTTTTTGCAGTGGTAAATGAGCACTAACTTCCACTTCAAGTCACTGGCTGCATTAGCCCCTAACAAGAGTCAGCCTGTCCTTTGAAGCTTTGAAGCCAAGGCATTTACTTTGGTTCTTTATCTATGAAAGATCTGGATGGCATCTTACCCAGTAGAAGACTGTTTCATCTGCATTGAAAATCTGTTGTTTAGTGTAGCTGCCTTCATCAAAGATCTGAACTAGGTCTTCTGGATAATTTACCACAGCTTCTCCATTGGCACTCGCTGCTTCACCCTGCACTCTTATGTTATGGAGATGGCTTCTTTCCCCCTTAAACTTCATGAGCCAACCTCTGCTAAGCTTCAAACTTCTATTCTGCAGCTTTCTAGCCTCTCTCAGCCTTCATGAAATTGAAAAGCCTTATGACCTTGCTCTGGATTAGGCTTTGGCATAAGGGAATATTGGGGCTGGTTTGATCTATCCAGACCACTCAAACTTTCTCCATATGAGCAATAAGGCTGTTTTTTCTTCCTCTTTTTTTTTTTTGTTTTTTTTTTTTGAGATGGGGTCTTCCTCTGTTGCCCAGGCTGGAGTGCAGTGGCACGATCTTTACTCACTGAGGTCTTGACCTCCCAGGCTCAAGCAATCCTCCCACCTCAGCCTCCCGAGTAGCTGGGACTACAGGCATGTGCCACCATGCCCAGCTAATTTTTTTATTTTTTGTAGAGACAGGGTTTCACCATGTTGCCCCCAGGCTGATCTGGCCAAACTCCTGGGCTCAAGAGATCTGTTCACCTTGGCTTCCCAAAGTGCTGGAATTACAGGCGTGAGCCACTGCACCCAGCCTGTTTTGCTTTCTTATCATTTGTGGGTTCACTGGCTTAGCACTTTTAATTTCCTTCAAGAACTTTTCCTTTGTATTCACAACTGGCTAGCTGTTTCGTGCAAAAGGCCTAGCGTGCTGGTCTGAGCTTTCCACATGCTTTCCTCGGTAGCTGAGTTTGGGATTTAAAGTGAGAGATGTGCAACTCCTCCTTTCACTTGAACACTTACGAGCCCATAGCAGGCTTACAGATTATTGTATTTTCAATATTGTTGGGTCTCAGGGAATAGGGAGGTCTGAGGAGAGAGATACAGACAGCTGGATAAACAGCTGGCTGGTGCAGCAGTCAGAGCACACACACCATGTATGGATTAGGTTCACCGTCTTATGTGGGTGCTGTTCATGGTGCCCCAAACCAATGACAATGATAGCGTCAAAGATCACTGATCACAGATCACCATAACAGATATAGTAATAATTCAAATGTTTGAAATATGGCGAGAATTACCAAAATGTGACACAGAGACCCAAAGTGAGCACATGCTATTGGAAAAATGGCAGTCTTTTTGGATGCAGTTTTGCCATAAACCTTCAATTTGTAAAAAAAAAAGAAAGAAAGAAAGAAAAAAGAAGAAAAGAGCAATATCTGCAAAATATGATAAAAATAAAGCAATAAAGTAAAGTGCAATAAAATTAGTCTGCCTGGATTTGCAAATTCTGTCTCCAACCAGTGCTGGGATCCATAATATGCAAAGAACCCTCAAAATTAAACATTCTGTGAGTATCAAATTCGAGAATTTGGTATAAAAATGCATCTACTTCTAAAAGTGAAAACTACAACAAAAAGAAGGAGTTGCTTTGCTTAGAAACTTTTGAAGCGCACTGCATTATTTTTATTTATCCGCATGATTGCCAGGTAATCTGCATATCAAAATAAGAGGTTTCAGATGCCATAAAATTAATTACCATTGAATTTCTGACAGAGGAGATTTGGGAGAATATAGGCAACATTAAATATAAGAGGAAGTTTGATAAGTTTAAGAACTATGACCACAAAAGCTTTTTGGATGTGGCAACTTTCAATTAGAACTGATTGAAAGTGAATAAACTTTGAGAAGATTTTCTACCACTCTGTGGGTTGTCTGTTTACTCTGCTGATTGTTTCTTTTGCTGTGCAGAAGCTTTTTAGTTAAGTCCCATCTATTTATCTTTTTGTTGCATTTGCTTTTGGGTTCTTGGTCATGAAGTGTTTGCATAAGCCAGTCATCTAGCAGGGTTTTTCTGATGTTATCATCTAGAATTTTTATGGTTTCAGGTCTTAGATTTAAGTCTTTGATCCATCTTGACTTGATTTTTATATAAGATGACAGAGCTCTTTCCTTCTGCTGCTGCGGCTGCAGCCATGAGTACTGCTCAGGCTTCAGAAGAGGCTCGCCTCTAGTGTCCTCCACTGTGGCAAGAAGGAGGTCTAGTTGGACCCCATTGAGACCAATGAAATTGCTAATGCCAACTCTCATCAGCAGATCCAGAAGCTGATCAAAGATGGGCTGATCATCCACAAGCCTGTGATTGTCCATTCCCAGGCTCAATGCTGGAAAAACACCTTGGCCTGCCGGAAGGGCAGGCACATGGGCATAGGTAAGCAGAAGCGTACAGCCAATGCCCAAATACCAGAGAAGGTCACATGGATGAGGAAAATACTGCACCGGCTGCTCAGAAGATACCGTGAATCGAAGAAGATTGATGGCCACATGTATCACAGCCTGTACCTGAAGGTAAAGGGGAATGTATTCAAAAACAAGTGGATTGTCATGGAACACATCAACAAGCTGAAGGCAGACAAGGCCCACAAGAAGCTCCTGGCTGACCAGGCTGAGGCCCCCAGGTCTAAGACCTAGGAGGCACGCAAGCACCTTGAAGAGTGCCTCCAGGCCAAGAAGGAAGAGATCATCAAGACTGCCCAAAGAGGAAGAGACCAAGAAATAAAAGCTCCCCCTTTGTCTGTACATACTGCCCTCTGTGATTACATAGATCAGCCATTAAAATAAAACAAGCCTTAAAAAAAAAAAGATGAGAGATGAGGATCTAGTTTCATTCTTCTGCATGTGGCTTGCCAATTGTCCCAGGACCATCTGTTGAACAGGGTGTCCTTTCCCCATGTTATGTTTTTGTTTGCTTTGTCTAAGATCAGTTGGCTGTAAGTATTTGGTTATATTTCTGGGTTCTGTATTCTTTCCATTGATCTATGAGCCTATTTTCATATCAGTACCATGCTGTTTTGATGACCATGGCCTTATAGCAGAGTTTGAAGTTGGGTAATGTGATGTTCCAGATTTGTTCTTTTTGCATAGTCTTGCTTTGGCTATGTGGGCTCTTTCTTGGTTTCCTGTGAATTTTAGGATTGTTTTCTCTAGCTCTGTGATGAATGATGGTGGTATTTTGATGAGAATTGTGCTGAATTTGTACATTGTTTTTGGCGGTATGGTCCTTTTCACCATATTGATTCTACCCACCCATGAGCATGGGATGTGTTTCCATTTGTTTGTGTCATCTATAATTTCTTTCAGAAGTGTTTTGTAGTTTTCCTTGTAGAGGTCTTTCATGTCCTTGTTTAGGTATAAACCTAAGAGGGTTTGTGTGTGTGTGTGTGGTTTTTTTTGCAGCTATTGTAAAAGGGGTTGAGTTCTTGATTTGATTCTCAGCTTGGTCTCTGTTGGTATATAGCAGAGCTACTGATTTCTGTACATTAATTTTGTATCCTGAAACTTTGTTGAATTCATTTATACATCTGACAAAGGACTAATATCCAGAATCTACAAAGAACTCAAACAAATCCGCCAAAAGAAAACAAACACTCCCATCAAGAAGTGAGCAAAGGACATGAACAGACAATTCTCAAAAGATACACAAATGGCCAACAAACATAAGGAAAAATGCTCAACATCACTAATGATCAGGGAAATGCAAATCAAAACCACAATGTGATACCACCTTACTCCTGCAAGAATGGCCATAATAATAAAAAATAGATGTTGACATGCATATTGTGAAAAGGGAACACTTAAGGCATGAGGCATGAGATATAATGGACTTTGGAGACTTGGGGGAAAGTGGGGAGGGGAGTGAGGAATAAAAGACTACACATTGGGTACAGTGCATACTGTTTGGGTAATAGGTGCACCAAAAGCTCAGAAATCACTACTAAACAACTTATTTATGTCATCGAATACCACCTGTTCCCCAAAAACCAATCGGAATAAAAATATAAACAAAAACAAAAAAAGAAAGTGAATAAACTACCATGAATAAAGCTAATAATTAAAGTTATTTTAATTATCCATCTAGAGGACTTATTGGCTAGTGTTACCTTCCAACAGCTATGGTTATGTGCCACAGTTTGTAACAATGGGATATGAGTGGAAATGATCACTGACTTTACTAAATCTTGGCCTTAAAACATGCACTTCATCTTCTACCCCCTTCCCCTTCCCGTTGCAAAGTCATGGTGATAAACCAGGTTTGTTCATGCAGATGACAATACTTTTGGAAATGATGGCAGAGAAATAAAATGAAAAGAATATTGTTGTGGGAGAATGATGGCTGGTGGTGTAGGGGTAAAAGAATTTACAAAGAGAGTTGTAGGTAAAGAAAGGCAGATTTATTAGAGAAAGTAGAAAAATATGTTACCAGGGAGACAATGGGCAAGTCAGCAGAAGCTCACTGCAAGGAAACAAAAGCTTGCCAGAGATTTTATAGCACGGTGTTCATGCTGTCTATTGAAGAAGGCTTTGTGTAGAAGGTTGCAGTGAGCTAACTTGCAGGTGTCTGGTGATAGCTGGGCACAGGAAGACAGTGAGCTACTTGTGCAGGACAGCTATGAGTCCTGGACCATGAAGAAAGGCAGATTTGTGGCTTATCTGCTTTCTCTTTTTGCTTTCCCTTGCTCCTACCAGCCTGACTTCTTTTCCCCAATCAGGACTCCGCAAATATAGTTCACTTAATGATCACGTAAATTGGAGTTTATTACCCATGTGACTTTTGCATATATCCAGACTAATATGTGACAATATATATTTCTACTTTGTCTGTGCCACAGTATTTGTATATCTTTAGTTGTCTGATCTACAGTATTGTATGTCTTGTTATGGAACAACTTATACTAGTATAGAATTATTAGCTGTGTTTTAAAATTTTTTTGTAGACATGTTGTGTGTTCTCACATCCAATAGAAGTGTGTAACAGGTTATCTTCTACCCATTTTTCTCAATATCTGTGTCATTTCAAAATCCATCAATTGTGGAGGCAAAAGGAACATACTTATCTTTTTTGTAATAATGAGGTTAAGTATATTTTTATTTTTGTAGAAATTTGCAATTTTTGGTCTTTTTATATGTTTTGATCACTTTCCATTTTTTAGAGTTCTGTAACTAATTTGTAGCCAATGGGTAAGATTTATCTGGTTTATCAGGTATGGTTTATTTAAAAGCCATTTTTTCCATTTTGTTACCTTTTGTTAATTATTTTATAAGCTTTTTGGCTGCAGATTAGTTTTGTTTATTTCCAACGCATTAATATTTTCTTTTTTTCTTCTTTGTATATGTGCTTGGAAGACCTTCTTCTGTGATATCAGATCAAACTCAGATATTCAAGATTTGTTGCTAAGACATTATTTCATTAGCGTAGAAAAGAAATTAAGTTAATTTACCTTAATATTTATAAATCAAGTTAAACTCACATAACAATATGGTAAATATTATTTTGCATAGTTCAGGAATGTGTTTAATGATTTTACTTGAACTGACTGACTGGCTACAAGTCAATGAATTTGTGCTTGGTAAAGATTCAGCATCAAAAACTACATAATTCTTAGATCAAAAGTAAGGTGTATCATTTCAGTTGAAATAAATTACTTATAACAGTTTTGAGGTATAACTGACATAAAATAAACTCACATAGTGTATTTTTTTCATCAAAGAATGCAAAATTTCAACAGATTTGAAAAGGGTATATATAACCCAAAACATTAGTGAGTACTTATTCTCTAATTTATTCTTCCTAATAAGATTAATGTTGGTCTAAGTTTATCATGTGTATGATTTATCATATGGAAAAAAATGTTCCTTTAAAGCTAATTCTTAAATATGTGCACTGAAGATTCTCAAATAACATTTAGACAAATACAACGATAATATTGTGATTTCTTGCATAGTGGTTGCATTATTTATCATGTTATATAAGAATTTCCTTTTAGCTTTGAGGTGAAATAGTTTCTGCCACTAATATTTTCTATGCTGCTAATATAAAATTAGCATTAAATTTTTTTATTCCTTGAATAACTATTTACAACATATTAGTAGGGTTATAGATCTTTAAAAAAACATAGCTATTCCAGTATCTAGTTATGCAACTAACTTTTTGCCACATCTCTAAAACATTGTAATGGACAGATTATTTTTTAAAAATACAACACACTGGCATTTATTTGTAATACAGTTTTGCTTTGTTGTTTGTTAATTCCATTGTGTAGGGAAAAAAAGAAAAAAAGGAAGAGGAAGAGATGGAGAAGAAATAAGAATACAAACAAGAAATAGAAAAAGCAGCTAAGAAAATGAAGAGGAGCAAGAATAAGATGAGAAGATGAAGACAAGTCAAGAAGAAAGGAGAAAAAGCAGGTGAGGGAATTTAGAAACCCTCTTATACGATAAATCTATTTTTCCCTCACTGATTCATAAAATTTGAAAACATCCAGGACTATCACAACCAAAAACAAGCAAAAAGATACAAAAATAATTATGCCCGAAATTTTTTAAATGTACATATGTATTTTTTGCTATGACAAAGCCTCTCTTCTCACTTACTAGTTTTATCAATGCTTGCTTCAATATTTCAGAAATAGAATTTTTCATGTTGTGACTTTCCTGAATTGTCAAGAGATTGAATTTGGATTGAACTCTGGAATTTATTGATTATCAATATTTTAATAGCACAGGACAAGTATATATTTTTCAGGAAATATGTTTTGCATGATGTTTTACCCTAATAATTTACTTTCATAGAGTGATTAAAACTCTGCAAACAGTAAGCATGATATTTAAGTATTCAAATATTTTTAAATATTTGTCATTTTCTTTGATAAATGTCATAACTTTCAAATGTATATATCTGAGGTAACAGTGAGTTTGAATTTTTCCATCACTGACTATATTATAAATAAGTCAATTAGCTCTTATTAGTATTAGGCTTTTGTTATTGATGTGAACCTACTCAATATTATACAAAATAAGTTACTATTTATACTTCAAACCTGTGATGGTGGTTTTTAAATTATAGCAAAAATACATATAAAATTTACCATCTTAATCATTTTAAGTGTACAGATCATAAGTATTAACTATATTCACACTGCTGTGCAACAGATTTGCAGAAATTTCCCATCTGGCAAAACTGTAATTCTAAAGCCACTGAGTAACAACTCCCCATTTCCTGCCTCTTGTGGTGGTTTTAAATACAATGCAATATATACTAGCTGAAAATAGAAAAAAGAAATATACGAAAATATTAAATGTATAGCACAAAAAATGAATAATAGGATAACTTTGGCTATGACTTTAAATGAGAGAATCCAAAGTAAAATAATGGTATATAATATAAATATATAAGATGCACAAGTACACTTAAAATATTTAAAATTTAATATTAACAAAAATAAATGTAATATACCACACAAATAGGTATTCAACAAAACTAAATACAATTATGTTTAATACTTTTAACTATGTTATACCATGAATAAAATCCTATCAACTTTTGAATATCTAGGCAAGGAAACCAACTACATCTCTTCTTTAAGAAAGATCCCACAATGAAAACTATAACACATTGATGAGATATTAAAGCAGACACAAGTACATGGAAACATATCCTATGTCCATGCACTAGAATATTGTTAAAATATCTATATCACCCAATGTGATCTACAGAAACAGTGCAATCCATGTTAAATTACAAAAGACATTCTTCATAGAAATAAAAAACTAACATTCACATGGAAATCCAAAATACCTCAGGTAGACAAAATAATCTTGAAAAAAAAGAAAAAAGCTGGAGGCATGACACTCCCTGATTTCAAAATATACTACAAATCTATAGTAACCAAAGCAACATGGTACTGTCAAAAAAAAGCGGGGCAGGAGAGACAGAGAAAGAGACGAATGACAGACAGACAGACATAGACAAATAAAACAGAAAACAGAAATTCACACATTTACAGTGAACTCATTTTTAACAAAGGCACCAAGAACACACATTCGGGAAGGACAATCTCTTCAATAAACTGTGCTACGAAAGCCCAACCCACATGTAGAAGACTGTATCTAGACCATTATCTTAACATACACAAAAATCAACTCAAAGATTTAGGACCTGAAACTGTGAAACCACTGGAGAAAAAAACATAGAATGAATGCTTCATTCAATTGGTTAGAACAAGGAATTTTCAAATAGACATCAAAAGCACAAGCAACAAAAGCAAAAATAGACAAATGCAATTACATTAAACTTAAAAGCTTCAGCAAGGTGGAGGAAGCAGTAGAATTAAGAAACAATCCAGAGAATGGCAGAAAGTATTTGGAAACTATGCATCAGGCAAGGGGTTAATAAAAAAAAATAAAGAAATAAAACTACTCAAAAGCAAAAATACAAATAATCTGATTTTAAAAATCAGAAAAATATCTACCCAAAACCTTTGTCTCCCACCATTATTTCCCCACCTTCTTTTCCCGACCGCCTTTGGCCCCCTCCCTCTCGCCACCCTTTTTCTTCCTCCATCTACCCCAAAACTTTTTCCCCACCATCTTTTCCCCACCGTCCTTTTGCAACGCCTTCTCGTGCTCGCTACCCTCTTTTCCCTTTGGCACCAACCACGCTGTTTAGCCCCCTCCATCTATCCCAAAACTAGTTTCCTTCTCCTACCACTCCAGCCGCGCTGCAGTCTCCGTGGCCACCACCAACAGTCACCACCAACAACCAGAGGGAGGCGAGCTGTGGGGTCACAAGCTCCAGCCTCCAGCGTACTGCCAGCGATTTCCCATTCCTGGTCCTCCAAGCCAGGCACTGAGCAGCTCAACAGTCCAGCCACGCTGCAGTCTCTGTTGCCACCACCAACCGCAGCGAGGTGGGCCGCAGTGTTGCACGCTCCAGCCTACAGCTGGGGATTTCCCATTCCTGGTCCTCTAAGCCAGAGACTGAGCAACTCAACACGAAGGTATGGGAAACTGGAAGGGCCTGACTTCCCTTCGGCATCAGAGTTATGCACATGGGGGTTCCTGTACTGCATGTTCTGATTGGATGAGAAAAAACCTCCAGGCTTACTCGGATTGGACTTTATTATCATGTTCTGATTGGATGAGAGCAAGTCTTAAAACAAGCAATCACAGCATGAAAGTAAAGTCCAATTAGAGTAGGCCTTCGGGTTTTCTCTCATCCAATCAGAACATGTAGTCCAGGAACCGCAGGTGCGTAACCTCAGTATATAAAGCATGCAGAGGCAGTGTCAGGTCATTTTAGGCTCTTCTGTGTTAGCGCTGTGTACGTGGCTTAGAGAACTAGGAGAAGAGGCCACTGCCTGCCACTGGCTGGAGCCCGGGGCACTGGCTAGCTGTGGTTGGTGGTGGCGACGGAGCAGTAGGAGGGCGACGGGCAGTGGGAGTTTTTCCTGCCAGGCTGGAGGACAAGGAGAAGGGAGAGGCATTGCCGCATGTTGGAGGCTGAAGCCTGCGCCACCGAGGCTCCCCTCGCTGGGGTTGGTGGTGACGTCGGACACTACAGCTCAGCTAGAGTGGTAGAAATGTTGTGGGGTAGGTGAGTTTTCCAGGGCTGCACTGCCTGCCTCTGGGGGCAGGGGTTGGGTGTCCCATTGGGTCTCACCACCAGAGGCTGCACTGCCTGTGGCAGGAGACTGGTTGGGGGCACTCTCTGGGGTTGAATTGCTGGCAGTGGGGCAGGTTGGCTGGCTATGGGGGGCTACATTGCCTGCAGTGGTGGGGGTGGTGTGGGGAGGCAGGTTGTGTGCACTAACGTGTACTGCCAGTGGAGGGGGATGGGTTGGGGTGCTATCTTCTGTGCACTACCGGTGGCAGGGGGTGGGTTGGGTGGAGTTCTTTGGGGCTACAATGCTGGCAGTAGGGGGTGGTTTAGGGGCATTGTCGGGTGCTGCACTGTCCGTGACTGGGGGTGCGCTATCAGGAGCTGCACTGCTCGAGGTGGGGTTGGGGGGGCAGGTTTCGGGTGCTATCTAGTGCAGCAACACCCATGGCTGGGTCAGGTTGTGGGCACTATTGGGTGCTACACTGCCTGCTCTGGGGGAGGGAGGGTGCTTTGGGGGGGATATTGGGGTTACACACCCTGCAGCTGGTGCGGGGTTTGTTTGGTGTGCTATCCAGGGGCTACACTGTTGGTGGCAGGCAGCAGGCGGCAGGTTAGGGGTGCTATCAGGGGCTACACTGCTAGTGGCGTTGGCAGGCTGCGGAGGTGGCAGTGACAGCAGTGGCCTCCTTCCTCCTTCAGGTGGTCTCCAAGGAAGGGACCGTTCTCCTCTTCCCCAATTCCAGACTCTAGAGAGTGATCTCCTCCTCCTTGCACAATCTTGAGTATGACAGGGCCCCCACACCCACCGTGGTTCTCTGGCCCATGCTCTCATGCTCTGTGTTGCAGAGACAACCTGGGACTACTGGGCAGGGAGTAGTGGGCACCACTGTGGTGGGGGTGGGGGGATAGGGCACTGTGGGTGGAGGCATCAGGAACGGGAACCAGAACTTGGGTGGGCAGGGCTGGCTGGGCCTGAGTTTCTCCTACTCCTGCTCCCTGAGGAGTGCAGCCCTGGTGGACCCAGCAATTTCTGTCCAGCAGGACCTGACCTAGGGCTGGTTTCAGCAAAGGCACACACACTCACCCTGGGCCCCAGTTCCTGGCCAGCTTTTGCCAGAAGGAGAGGCTGGACTTTGGAGGGTGGGTGTGAGTGCCTTTGCTGAAACTGGTCCCTGCCACCCAGTGGCCAGCGTGACAAGGTGAGGCTCTAATGCTACCACTCCCTGCATCCCGTTTTAGGCTTTTCTAGCTTTGCCCATCTAGCTGCTCCAAGCCAGGCTGGAGGAGGAGGAAGAGGAGGAGTCATCTATGGTACATTGGAGCCTGCAGATGGCATGGCTTTGCAGCTCGCCTTATGCGGTTGGTGGCAGCAACAGAGACTGCAGCTCCCCCGGAGCAGTAGGAGGGCTACTGCGGGTCCAGGTGGTAGGATCCTTGCAGGGTGGGCTGGCGCATTGAGGGCGACAGCAGTTGTATTGGCATCGGTGCTAGTGGTGGTAGCAGCAGCAAGTCTGGGGATCTGGAGCACTGCAGGACCCAGCCCGACCTGGGGTGGGGAGGAACTTGCCGGTGCTGTACTGTGGGCCATGGTGGCAGTGGTGGAGGTGCACCTAGAGCAAGAAGGAGTCCTCCCCCTTTTCCTGCCATCTCTAAAGGGTGCCCTCCTCCTGCTAGTGCCTGAGGCAGGCGTGAGTGGCACCATTGTCTCATTCTTAACAAAAAGATACACAGATTCTTAACTATTTGTGTATCTTTTTGCTTGTTTTTTGTTGTGATAGTCTTGGACTTTTTCAAATGTCATGAATCGGGGAAGGGATAAAAGGTATCATAATAGGCCTTCCAATTCCTACATCTGTTCTTTTTCCTTTCTTCCAGTTTGTATTTTCTTCTTCTTATTTTCTTGTTCCTCTTCATTTTCTTTGCTGCTGCTTCTGTTTCATCTTTCTATTCTTGTTTCTCTTCCTGTTTTTGTTTTCTTTATGCCAACCAATGGCCTTAACAAACAACAAACCAAAACTGAGTTAAAAAGAAACTACTTGTCCCTGTGGTGTATTTTTAAAATAACTGGTCCCTTACTGTGTTTTAGAGTTGAGGAAAAAAAATAGTTGCATAATTAGTTACACAAATAACTATGCTTTCATGATCCTGTTAACCCACTTATGCAAAGAGTGTTCCATTATTGCAATGCTATGCATGTGGGAGTTATTTGCTCCCTACTGCTCAAGGTCATCACCAAGGTCTGATTTTTCACTCAGCAAAAATTCAAAAAACTGCAACCTTCTGCACAAATGGGTTAATGCATCATAAGTAGTTATTCGAGGAATCAAAAAATGAAGCATCACATAAAATATTGGTAGCAAACAGCCATTTCACCTCTCACAAATATTTGTCTGGAGCTATGCAAGAGGCTCAGGGGTAATAAGTTCCAATTTATGAGATTATTAAGTGAACCGTATCCCTTCATTGGCCAGGCACGGTGGCTCATGCCTGTAATCCCAGCACTTTGGGAGGCCGAGGTGGGTGGATCATGAGGTCAGGAGATCGAGACCATCCTGGCTAACAGGGTGAAACCCCGTCTCTACTAACAATACAAAAAAAAAATAGCTGGACGTGGCGGTGTGTGCCTGTAGTCCCAGCTGCTGGGGAGGCTGAGGCAGGAGAATGGTGTGAACCCGGGAGGCGGAGCTTGCAGTGAGCCGAGATTGTGCTACTGCAGTCCAGCCTGAGTGACAGAGCGAGACTCCATCTCAAAAAAAAAAAAAAAAGAATCCAAGCTAGTTTTTAATTTAAAATAGGAGTAATTTTTCCAGATAAAAATATTGTTATGAGGTTTTTCATTGTCTTCTCATGAGATATAAGCTCCATAAGAATGGAGGCCTTGTCGGTTGTGTCCACTACTAGAGAAAACATCATTTTAGGGTCCAGAATAGTGCCTCACATATAGCAGAATTTCTCTAAATATTGATGAATTAATGGATGGAAATAGTTCAGCAAAGTTCAATACTTGATTTCTAGTAAACGTTCTTATATAATAAATGGTAGATACTATTAGTAATAATATTCATAACACAAAGTGCCTATTGTATACACTGTACTTGTTGTCTGTCTTGTATTTTTATTAGATCTTTATAAAAACATCTTATGGGCCAGGTGCAGTGGCTAACGCCTGTAATCCCAACACTTTGGGAGGCTGAGGCGGGCAGATCACAAGGTCATGAGATCGAGACCATCCTGGCTAACACGGTGAAACCCCGTCTCTACTAAAAATACAAAAAATTAGCCGGGCGTGGTGGTGGGTGCCTGTAGTCCCAGCTACTCGGGAGGCTGAGGTAGGAGAATGGTATGAACCTGGGAGGCAGAGTTTGCAGCCAGCCTGGGTGACAGAGCGAGACTCTGTCTCAAAAAAAAAAAAAAAGCTTATGGTAAAATTATCATCTGCACTGTACAGATCAGGACGTAAGGACAGGCTGAGTGGTGAGCTCAACTTAACTAGTGGTGGAGCAAATCTAGATAAACTGAGTTCTTAACCTCTATGCTGTGCAAATAATTACAATAATGATGATGATGTTGGCGATGATAAGGATGATGGTGATGATAGTGATGGTAATTATGATGGTGATGATGGTGAAGATGATGGTGATGTTGGTGAGTATGGTGATGTGATGTTGGTGATGATGGTTAATGCTGGTGATGACAGTGATGGGGGTCATGGTAGTGATGATGGTGATGATGATGATGAAGATCACAAAGTTGAAGAAGCAGCAGGAAGAGGCAGCCATGAACTTGCTCCTAACGCTGGTTCTATCAACATAGTTAGGAAACATAATATATAGTTTCTAATCTCCTGTGTAATTTCTGGCCATAGTTGCCCTCTGGCAAGGAGCAAGATGCAGACAAGCCATAGCTAAACGAACTCAAGAAGGCATCAGGCTGTATCACTAGGTCACCCTAGCTGGTGTTGCAAGATTCCAGATGATGGTGAGGCTTCAGGATTCAGGAGCTAGCTCACTGAAGAAAGAGCATGGCAAGATCTGAGCAGAGTATCAGAGCCCTAACCAAGTCAGCCACAGGTTAGGACAGGGCCAGAGACTCACCAGGAAATGGAGAGCCAAGTAGAGAAACCAAGGCAGCTATCCAAGAATAAGACATCATTCAATGGGTGGAAGACTTTTGCAAAGTCAAAATTGAATAGAACTGTGGATGCCCATGGCTGCTCCTTGCACACACGAGAATTTATTCATCGCAAAACGTTTATAACACATCTGTGTGCTAACACTGGGGACACAACAAAAATGAAACAACCCAGCTCACACTCTCGTGTACTTCAAATTCTAGTTGATGCAGTACAAAACATCCTAATAAATAAGCAAGGTAGTTCTAGATTGTGGTAAGAGTAATGAAGTAAATAGACATGATCATGTGAAGAATGAGTGGGAAAAGTACTTCAGATAGAGTCATTTGAATATAACTCTTTGAGAAAGTCAGAATTTGATCTTCAACAGGGCACCCTGGATACCAGATCCAAAGCATTAAAACTAATTCTAGATGCTTCTGGCTGGTAGTCTGAAGCTGTTAAATGGCCCTGTAGCTCAAGCCAGGACAGCCCCAAAAAGATCAGGGATGTTAGTAGCCCCTGAAGGTAGAAACAGAGGAAGCAGGAGAATGGGGCACAGCAGACCTATACTGCACACTTTAGATTTGTTAATTAATCCAACCTCCTTTGCAATCCTATGAGTTAGGCATTAATTGCTCTTTTACAGATGAGAATACTGAGATGCAGAGAGGTCACCTTTTTTGCATAACTCTTTTATAGCACAGCTTAGATGTGAATCTAAGTTTAAATGACTCCAGTGATAATTCTATTTCCATTATACCGGGGGAAATATAATTCCCCTAGCTGAGTGAAAGGGACACTTATTCTCAGGCTTTTAATGCTGAGAAGAATTGTTTCTATATCCTCATGAAAGAGGAGGTTGTAGAGCCTCACATTCAAGGAAAAGATAATGTTAGAAGTATGAACCCATAGGGACTTTTATGACTGTCTCAGAGAGGATGTGAGGCTTCTCATGCATAATAGCTGAGAAGTCTGGAAGATTCTGGAAACTTTGTCAAGGCCCCATATTTGCAAAATTATTTCTTCTTCATGGGGTAATACATGGTGTTCTGCAGTAAACACATTTTGGAGAAAGAGCTAGTGAGATATCTTCTGGAGGAGTGCATGGGGCTGAAATACAGTGAGAAACTGGGAAACTATTGAGATGGGACCCTGTTGTACATCAGAGTGAGGGAGAGTCCCAAAGGAGGTGAAGGCAACCCAGCCAGGCTCAGGGCCTGTGTTTGAAGAAGTTCAGCAGCTTCAAGTTACCTAAAAGAAATACAACAAAAAGGGAAGGCACTGTTACAGAAAGGAGTATGAAAATAAATGAATTGATCCATGTAAACACTTAACATATCTGTTGAGAGATGAAAACCCTGAGCTAGGACACTTACATTCATTAACTTTTTTAACTTTCGTGATAACCACATTGAGTACACTTTTTCCTATTTTATATAGCATGAAGCTGAGTCCCAGAGTGGTCAAATTAATGGCTGCTGAGTAGTGTAAAGACTTTGTTCAGAGTCACAGAACTAGTATGTGTTGAACCTGGAATTCAGACCCTGGTGTGCCTCCAAGACCTTAGTTCTTTCACCCATACCAAATAACTCCACTAGAAAGGGAGCAGAGTCAGTCTTCTGTGATGCCTCATGGTAATCATTGCTTTCTTTTCCAAGGGTTCATATCCTTTTATAACCCAATCAAGGACCATGCCCCTGAATTATATAAATTTCTCAGTCTATTGCTTGCAAAACTCACTTTGTTCCTTTTTTTGTCCATCGTCAAATCACTGACATCTCACCGAGTTATCATAAGACAAATAGTAACAGTGAATAATTATCAGAGCAACTATAATAACAGAGACCTCAAAGTCTTTCTCAACTCCCCCTCTCCTCCATATTTTTGACCTGAGAATCCTATGTCTTAAACCCGTTATCCTGTTGTTTTCTTCCTTTCATGCCCTTCTCATCTCTCACCTGTAGGTCAACGGGCCTCACTCCATCCAGGTCATCTCGCTACTCATCATCCACACCAGGGTCCATCTTTCAAAGACGGAGTCATGACTACTCCCTCCCCTGTTTAGCACCCTTTGTGGCCTTGCCATCACCTCTGACTACCAGATTCCTTCACTATCTGTCCTGTAAGTCCTGGAAGACATGATCTTGGGATCTGGCCTTTGTCCCTCTTTCCAAAAATGTTTCTTCTCATCCCTGTATAGGTGCTCAAAACACTAGCTACCAAAATGGGCCCTGTGACCCTCTCTAATACATTTAAATGGAGAACTCCTTCTGCCTTGAACACACAATCCTATACCTTGAACCAGCTCACTTCTTGAGAGCCAAAGGTTTGCCTCCTCCTGGATGTCTTCCCTGATTACACTGTTTTAGGTACTCTACCTTTGCACCCCCATAGTGCTCTGTGCTACACCTATCCCTTTGCTGATACTTCCTGTGCTTATTGGAAATATTGTTCGGCAAATATCCAGTCGCTTGCCCTCCCATTGTTGGAGAGTAGGGTATAGGTTCCTGCCCCACTGAGGCTGGGCTTGGCCATATGACCTATTTTGGCCAATGGAATGTTAGCAGGGATGATATAAGCAGAGGCTTAAATGTGCTTGCATGATTGGGCTTGCCCTCCTGCGCTCCTATGATACGTTATGAGAACAGAATGCCCTGAGTAGTTGCTGATCCTTTAGCCTGGCTGCAGAATGAATCCACAGGGAACAGACATGAACCAAGCTCTCAGCCTGGAGCCAAACCAGCTTATTGGTCATGTAAAACAGGAGTGACTAGCTGAGTTCAGCCCTAGAGTATTCTTGTCCTAAAATATTCCAAGCTGGAATATTCTCATAGACCTGAAAATATGAGAAGACATAGTTGTTGAAGGCCAGTGGTTTACCACACAGGACTACATTTCAATTGACAACAAATATTTATTTTTTTACCTGCTTTTTCCCCTCTCTAAAGCTATGAACAACTGAAGGGCAAAGACTGTCTCTCATACATATAAGACTACACCTTCTTGGCCGGGCACGGTGGCTCATGCCTGTAATCCCAGAACTTTGGGAGGCTGAGATGGGCGGATCACAAGGTCAGGAGATCGAGACCATCCTGGCTAACATGGTGAAACTCCGTCTCTACCAAAAAAAAAAAAAAAAATTAGCCAGGCGTGGTGGCGGGCGCCTGTAGTCCCAGCTACTCGGGAGGCTGAGGCAGGAGAATGGCGTGAACCCGGGAGGCAGAGCTTGCGGTGAGCCGAGATTGTGCCACTGCACTCCAGCCTGGGCGACAGAGCAAGACTCCGTCTCCAAAAAAAAAAAAAAAAAAGACTACACCCCCCCACATCCAACATGCAATTTGGCATCTTAGAGAGTGCCCTATGTGTGTTTAAAGAAAGAAGGGAGGGAGAAGGAAAGAGAAGGAGGAGGGTAGAAGAGAAGAAGGCAAGGGGAAGGAAAAGAGAAAGGAAAGAAAGAAGGAAAGAATGATGATATTCTTAGTAAAGTGCCCAAGCCTTTGTTAAAATAGCCTTTCATTGGTACTTGAATTTAATGATTAAACCCCATGCCAACAAAACTGTCAGAAAAGATACAGAAAGGAAGAAATAAAGTGAAAAGTTACCAAAATGACCATAAATCAACCTAAATTCATTCCAGAAAGACTGAAACTAGGCTACTTCACCATCTTCAAGGCTGTCCAGGTCCTACAAAAATGAAGTTACTTCTAGCAGTGGTTGGACATCAATTGACACAATGACATCTACTGAAGAAGACGAAGAGGGTAATCAGAGAAGAGTGGGCAAGAGCCGTGAGGCAGAGATTCTTCTGGGGCCACAGCAGTAACCATCGCGGACATGATCTCCTGCTTCCCTTGCCTATCCTGCCCAGGTGGGGATGATTGACATTGAGTGCCATACGTAAAAGTTGAGTGGGCATCAGTGAGAGGGAATTTATGACAAACAGCAGGTGTGTTAAAGTCAGGATTTCATACTTGCTGATGATTTGGCATGAACTATCTTCCTTAAGCCTTCTCGTTTGTAGAAATAATTTTTACTTTTATTTTCATCTTTCCTGACACCTTAGGAAAGACAGCACCAAGTTCAAATTTCTGATCCAAAGGTTTTTCAGTTTTCAAGACTGTACTTTATCCAGACAAGGAAGATAAAAAATTATTCAAACTTTCCTTAGAGGTTCCCTAATAGCCTCCCCAATGGCTGCCCAGTCTCCCACCCAAATACCCTTCCTAGGTAGGGAGAATAATGTGTCGGCAGCTGTGGAGACCCCTGCCTTCTGCTGTTCTGGACAGGGGCTGCTTGCCCTTGGTATACCCAGCAGGTCCAGGCAGCAATGAATAAGAACAGGGATTTCAGAGAGTGTTCTATTTGGGTTTGAATTCCAGTATTGCCATTTACTTGATGATTGACCTTGGCAGGTTATGTACCCTGGGCTTCAGTGTCCTTACCAGTAAGTATAAAAGCACCTGCTCCTTTGGTGCCCATTTCCCATTCCTCTTCTTCTGGTGCTGGCACCCTGACCCTCTTCAATGTGACATGCTGCCTCTACACCTTTGGCCTTCTGCACATGCTGTCCCTTTGCCTTTCTTATACTCCCTTTTCTAGATACTCCAAACCTTCCCATCCCACACTCCTCTCACTGGCTTCCTCTGCAGCAGACTCCTATTCAGTGCCAGGATCCTGCCTCCTTCAGGAAGCCTCCTCTCCTCCACTGGACCATACGTTCTGTGAGGAAGGAACAACATCAGTCCTGGGCAACAGTGCCCAGCATAGGGCCCTGAAGCATTGCAGATCCATATTCATTGTTTCTGAAAGAATAAGAAAGGAACAATTCTGGAATATGACTGTAGGTTTTGTGTGTGTGTGTGTGTGTGTGTGTGTGTGTGTGCGCCTGTGCGTGCATGTGCATGCAGATATTTGGATTCCATGGCGATCCTCCCCAAGATTCTGGCAATAGCACAGATGTGGATACCCTCTTCTCAGCTTGGCCTGGCTTCTCATCTCCTTCCCGCTGCCTTTCTTCACTAACAATCTATTCCAGGTAGCCTTCTTCTCTAGCATGCTCCTGTTTCTCAGCTGGGGCTCCTGCTCTCCATTCCCTCTGCTTTGTTACGCTAGTGAGTTGTGATGTACACATTGGAAACTTCAGGTACTCTCTTCAACCCTATTCTAAAAATCCTAGAGCTGGAGCTCATCAAATAACAGCAACAGCTAACACTTAATTGGTCTCTGGCTATGTTCCAGGCACTTTCAAATGTGTATTCCCTCCTTGAATCTCCACACAACTCTCCATGTTAGGTAGTATTATTACCTTTATATCCCCAGTTAATAGACTATGACTCTAAAGGCCAGAGAGTTTAAGCATCTTGCCAAAGTTCATAAAGCTAGCAGGTGGTGCGGCTAGGGTTCCACATGGTTTATCAATCGTCTGTACTATCTTTTGTGGTTTATCAATGGTCTGTACTATCTTTTGGCCAAAAGAGTGGACACCTTGCCCCCTTCTTCCACCATTCAGTCTCTCATCTTGTTCCTTGCAGTTTTCAAAGAGCTTAGGTTTGATACTCATACCCTCAATGCCTTTTCTGGCTCTATTTTCTTCCAGCTCTGTTCTGCTGCTAGATACTTGACAATGTCTCTCCAGTGTCTGACCTTGACCTGTGGTTCAGACTAGGGGAATCCCAACCTGGTTTTTGGCTTCTGTTTAGAACTTGTCTGGCCTGGTGTAACCCTGGCAGTCATTCAACTCAAGGTCATGGCTATTCTCTGTCACAGTTCCTCCTTTCTGACCCTTTGGATACCAAATCCACTTGCTTACACTTATTATACCTCCATCCCACCCATTAGAATTGGGAATATCTGTCTATGGCTTCTATGCCCCTCACTCCCTCTGGATTCCCTGTATAGGCACCCTTTTCCCTGCCAAGTGTCCTAAGCAAACATCACAGACTCTGAGTCTTATTATGAAAAGAGCAATTATTATAGAAATAAGAGATTACCATCTGCCATGTACTGAGCAAAGGGGTTTACATATATTAACTCATCTGACCCTCCCATTGGCATTCTGTGAGATGGAGGTAACACAATTCTGTATTAAAGGTGAGGGGGCTGAGATTCAGAGAAGTAAAAGAATGGCATGTTTTAGGCTGGGCACGGTGGTTCACACCTGTAATCCCAGCACTTTGGGAGGCTGAGGTGGGCAGATCACGAGGTCAGGAGATCAAGACCATCCTGGCCAACATGGTGAAACCCCATCTCTACTAAAAACACAAAAATTAGCTGGGCATGGTGGCACCTGCCTGTAATCCCAACTACTCGGGAGGCTGAGGCGGGAGAATCACTTGAACCAGGGAGTTGGAAGTTGCAGTGAGCTGTGATCGTGCCACTGCACTAAAGCCTGGTGACAGAGCAAGACTGCATCTCAAAAAAAAAAAAAAGCATGTTTTATGTGGCAGAGCCTGGTTTAAACTCCCAACCCGTAAGACTCCCAAGTCTGTGCTCTATGCTACCATCATCTGAACCCAAACAGACCCTTGCACTGGGGTTGGGCTCCCCTTCCTCTCCTGACCTTTCCTGCTGGTTCCTCAACTCCAACCAGCATCATCTTTCCTCTGATGTCATCTTCTGTTCTTTGACCACACCCTTCCATCCTAAAGGACATGGTCTGAGGCTTCTTCCAAATTCTACTGCTAAAGTGTCTCTTATTTCTGTGAAGGGACAAACTAGAAATGACAGAGTAACAAAGGAAGGGAAGTGGCTGTTTCCAGAAACTCCTGGAGGTTTAGGCCATTGCCTGTGCCGTTTGCCATCTTGTCACTGGTTTGTCCCTGGCCTGGCCATTGGAAGCTCACTAGGGCTTGAGTCCTTTCAGTTTGGGAATCATCACACTCCTCCCTCTTCTCAATATTGCCTTCCCTTACAGTATGGGCAGATGACACCCTCTTCTCAATCATTCAGCATATTCAGTCAGCAGTAAAATGTTTTTGAGGTTTGTAGAGTTCCTCCTTTGTGCCTTAGCTTTCACCAGGTTGTTCTTAGCAGAGTTGGAAAGGACCAAGTAAGAACAGGCAATCACAAAGCCACATGATAAGGTGTCAGATAGACCTGAGTTCAAATTTGAGCTCCTTCACTTATTCACAACACATCCCTTAAGGAACTTAATCTATTTATCTAAGTCTCAGTTAATAGACTGAGACTACTCTCTATCCTGTTCAGAGTAGGGAAGATAGAGCATGGAGATAGTATTTACCTTATAGGGTAGTTGTGATATAATGCATATAAAAGCACTCATCTCAGTGACAGACACATAAAAAGGGCTCAATAATAATCGTAATAAATTGCTGTGAAAATGATGGTGGTTATGATGGTGGTACTGATGGTGTTGGTAGTGATAGTGGAGGTGGTGATGGTAGTGATGATGGTGGCAATGATGGTTGTTGTTGGTGGTGGTGGTATTGGTGATGATGGTGATGGTTGTGTGGTGACACTGGTGATGATGATGATGGTGGTGACAGTGGTGGTGGTGGTGATGATCATGGTGGTGGTGAACACAGACAGAATCAGAGCACTCTGGAAACGGCATAGAGTTGGGAGTGAGAGGAAGGTGCTTAGTGGGAGTTGCCCAGAAATGAGTCCTAAAATGAGTTTTTAAAATAAGAACAAGCAAAAGAGTTGAAGCAGAAAGTTGGGTCAAAAGTAAAAGGGTATTTTAGGCAGGAGAAGATAATTTGCAAAAGGTAAGAAGGTAGAGAAACCATGTAACAGGCAACCCACCCACCCCTAGAGGCTCTGAAGGAGGGCTGGATACCTTGCAGAATTGAAAGCCTTTTCCAACTTTTTTTTTTTTTTTTTTGAGATGGAGTCTCGCTCTGTCGCCCAGGCTGGAGTGTGGTGGCGCCATCTTGGCTCACTGCAAGCTCCATCTCCTGGGTTCATGCCATTCTCCTGCCTCAGCCTCCGGAGTAGCTGGGACTACAAGCGCCCGCCACCACGCCTGGCTAATTTTTTTTTATTTTTAGTAGAGACGGAGTTTCACCGTGTGAGCCAGGATGGTGTCGATCTCCTGACCTCGTGATCTGCCCGCTTTGGCCTCCCAAAGTGCTGGGATTACAGGCGTGAGCCACCGCCCCCAGCCCTTTTCCAACTTTTGAATCAGATTTGACTCTTGCTTCTCATACTCCCGGGTTTCTATTTCCAGCCCCTGGAGTCATTCAGAAGATATCACGCCTTTTTTCTGGAATTATATTTCTGCTATCTGGGGTGGGGGTGCCTTGTGACTCAGCCCCCCAGGGCTAAGGGTCAGGCTGAAATGTGCCTGAACTCAAATGGACTGGAGGAGGACAGGCACCCAGAGGAGAGACAGCTGCTTGGATGTCTAGGGTCCCTTGGGACAAAGCTGCCTCCTGTGACTAAGGTGCCAGATTTCAGGACTCAGGGGTCCAGGGTGCAGAGGCCTGGGCTCCTGCATGCCTGCAGCAGTCACCTGGCTTGTCCACATGAACTGCCTGCGTCCCTCCTCTCTGTGCCTGCATGTCCTGGGATCCAAGGCTGTGGCACCCTCAGCAACTCCATCTCCATGTGGTAGCTCACAAGGTCAGGGTGCTGGCGGCACGTGCAGCACTGCAGGTTGTTTGTGGCAATAGAGAAGGGCTGGGCAGTGGTGTCCAGGAGGTGCTCCAGCCGCTGCTTCTGGACCAGCAGCAGGTCTGACTCTTTGCCAGCACCTCCACCTCACGCTGCAGCTCCGACTTCCAGCCGTGGAATCCCGCAGGTGCTCACTCACCCTGACGTGGAGTCCCATACCACACCTGTGCCTGGGTCTGGGCTGCCAGTTGCTGGCTCTCGGGCCACTACCACTCTGACTGCTGGCAGTCTGACTGCTGGTGATCTGCGAAGGCCTGGTGGCAGTGGCCATAGCAGTTCTAGAACCACTCGTCCAGCAGGTGGTTGGCTGAGCCCGCAGTGGCCAGGCCTGAGGAGTGCAGTCACCTGTGTTGCAAGCCACGTAGTCCATCTTACAGGGGCGGCAAAGTCTGTGGTGCCAGGTGCATAGTCAGGAGCACATCCATCTACACTGTGGTGCCAGGCGCCCATCAGGGCTGGGGCAGTGAAGGGTGTGGTCAGCTGGGTGCAGTTAATGGGGCAGCTCCAGTTGCTCTGACCCAGAGAAGGATGTGCCTCCCTGTTGCCTGGGTGACACTGTACACACCAAGGGCCTTTTGTTGCTGGGCAATGGGGATCCCTCCCCTGGTGGCTGGAGGAGGGGCATTCAAGGTGGGCAGAACTGCCCTCTTAAAGTGCCAGGCAGGCCCAGGCCCACCCTCCCTCCCCCTGCCATGAGCCAAGCAGCAGTGGCCAAGGGTTCTCTCCACCTAGAGGATCCTAGGGCGCTCTCTCCCCTTCTTTGGTTCATCCAATTGTTGTTCCAGGTTTGATATCTGATCCCATCCTGCGAGGAGCTCAGGGCTCAGGATGAACAGGACAGAAGAGGCTCTGCCCACCTGCACCCCCATTGGGGCAGATGGGCTGTGGCTTTTGGGTGGGCCTCAGGGTGGGTGTTGTGGGTGCTGACTGGGACGGTGTTATCGTATATCTAAACATCTAAATCCTACAGCAGGGTGGCTGTTCCCCGTGCCCTAGTGGCCCCATACACCAGCGTTCAGAACCTGGGGGTGGGGTCAGGAAGGCCCTGGAGGCCCCCACACTCCTTTCCACACTCTGCTTGCATTCCCCCAGGGACGGGGTGCTCCTTCTTCATGGAAACCCTGAGGGACCCCCCACAGTGTGATCCCACTTTCAGGGTCTGCCAGCCAGAGAGTGGGGCCCTCAGGCCACGTGCAGCCTGCTGGGTCTCAGCCTCACAGGCTCCCAGGTGCTGGCAGCCCACTGAGCCCCAGGTCAGGGGGTGTCCATGAGAGTTCCTTGGGCAGAGTCCAGAGATGGGGAGGGCAGGGCTGAGGTCACCCCAGTCACTCGGCAGCCACCAGGAGGTAGGGGCCCTGTGATGGGTGTTCCTGTGGCAGGGATGATTGGAGGGACAGAGTTGCCTGCTCAGGGGCTGAGAGGCAGTCATGAGACCATAGAAGGGGACCTTGAACACTGGGTGGCCCCAGGGAGGTTTTGGTTTTTTGGCATAACTTTGTTGCCCTGGAGAATGGGGAGGCCTTGGAGTTAATTCAGCTGGGAACTGAGGAGCAGCAGATAAGAATAAGGGTGCTTGGACTAGACCCCAAAGGTCCTGCAGGAGGAAAGAAGAAAGGAGCACTGCCCTGGTCAGCTGGCTCTGGGACTCAGCCCAGTGGGATGAAACCTGACAGCTGTAGCAGCTGAGCAAGAGTAGCGCCTCTGTGAACCAGGTCATGGTGGACTCCTTTGTGCCCCTATACTTTGCCAGTCTGCAGGGCCAGGCATGGTGCATGCAGCTACTGCTGGCTGCGGGGGCCTAGGTGAGTGGCCCTTCCGGACAGAACCCCCAGACCCACTGAAGCTGCCAGAATGGAGAAGATTAGCTCAGGTGCACTCTGCGGGGAGGAAAAGAAGTAAAGGGTGGTCAGCATTCTGTGAAATGCAAGCTCACAGCCTTACCAGAGCCCATTGAGGGGACTTCAGAGGAAAGGCAGGAGGGGACAGAACAGGGTGTGCTTGGAGCTGAGGGAGGAGAGACTACACCTGGTCCACTGCACAGGGGGAGCAGGAAGCCCAGGGCTTGGCTGTCAGGAGGTCATGGAGGCTGAAGGAAAGGCAGTCTGAGGCCGGGTGCGGTGGCTCACACCTGTAGTCCCAGCGCTTTGGGAGGCGAGGCAGGCAGAACACGAGGTCAGGAGATCGAGAAAATCCTGGCTAACACGGTGAAATCCCGGTGAAACCCTGTCTCTACTAAAAATTCAAAAAATTAGCTGGGCGTGGTGGCGGGCACCTGTAGTCCCAACTACTCGGGAGGCTGAGGCACAAGAATCCCTTGAACCTGGGAGGCAGAGGTTGCAGTGAGCCAAGATCGCGCCACTGCACTCCAGCCTGGGTGACAGAGCGAGACTCTGTCTCAAAAAAAGAAAAGAAAAGAAAAGAAAAAAGAAAAGGCAGTCTGAGCAAAATGGTGGTGGGAGAACCAGCCCTGCAGTGGGCCGGGGCCAGCAGGCCAGCATCTGATAGACACAGGCTCCTGGGTGTAGCTGGGCTCGGGTGCAGAGCTGCCATTTGAGCCCAAAGAGAATGGTATAGGCTCTAGGATGCCTGAGAGGGACACTGGAAAACCAGCTATCTGAGAAAAAGAGCAAAACCAACATTCTGCTTTGCAGCTTTCCCTGGTGAAAATCCTCACTCTTTGGCTGTTTTTCAGCTGTGAGTGGTTTCCAGCCAGCAGAATTACTGGCTATTTAGCAGCTGGCTCTGCTGAGCAGCAAATACTGGCCCTGTACACCCCTGGACAATTTCTAACGGATTCCCCCCTGCCCCCCATCTCAGAGTTCAAAGGGTGAGGAGGAAGTGAAGACAGTGGGAGTACTGTTTACTCTTCCCAAAAGCTTGGAATGGAAAAAGTGCCAGAGTGTACCCAAATAGAAGCTGAATTTGTACAAATTCTAAGTAGAATTTGCCAATTTGAGGGGCTGCCTTTTTCCTGGCCCCTCTCTGTTATGCTAGAGAAGGTGTGGTCAGTGATCTCAGGCAGTCCTTCCTGTTGGGGCTTGAGTTTTTATTGACTGCCTCTCTCCCAGCTTGGAACCTAGGGCTCCTCTGTCCTGCTCTGTTTTTAGTAGGTGTTAGGGGTAGGGCTAGTGAGGGGGAAGCTGAGCTTATCCTGTCCTGACACAAAATAACCCCAAATGGGATGGCTTCTACACTCAGGAGGCTATGGGTGCTCCCCTTAGCTCTGGGAAGCTGAGCCACAAGGCATCCCCACCCCAAGGATGCTCCTGGCTGAAACAGTTGCTTCAGAGGTGGAAACCCAGGCCTGGGCCATCACTGCAGGTGTGGACAGGTGGGGTGGGCTGGGAGCCACTGCTCTCATTCATCCTATACAGAGCCCTGGCCCCAACGATCTGCACCCCCAGGTCCCCTCTTTTCCGAATGTCCTTTGTCCCTTCCGAATCCACAACTTGTCCATGGGGCAGCCCCATAGGATGAGGGAGTTCCCCAGTCCTGACCCCAGTGCTAGCTCTGAAGAATTCTGTCACCTCTCAGAACCTGGGACCTCCCTGTGAACGCACTGTAGGCCTGTGGACATTCATGAAAGATGTGGGTTGGGAGCAGCTGGTCCGGGGCCTCAGGGAGCCCCTTTGTTGCACCCCCAAACTCAGGCCAAAACCTTGAGTCCCTCCCTCCCCCTCATGCCTTCCCTCTTCCCTGCCTTCCTTTCCCCCAGACCCCTCCCCCTGCACCCTCTCAGTGCTTCAAGAACTCCCTCAGCTCCTATGCAAAGGGCCAAGGGTGCCTGCCCAGTGATGGAAACACTGAGAGTGCAGGAACAGAGGCAAACTCACAGGACAGAGGGGCACAAGACTTGTGCCCTGGCACACAAGGAGGTATCCCGTGGTGGAGACGAAGACTCCAGTCACAGAGAAGAGGGTTGCTCCCATACACAGAAAATGAAACTGTCCAGGCACTGAAAAGAAATGTGGGGTTCCCCTCCTGTTCTTGGTGTGAGGATAGCCTCTGTCAGCACAGAACCCCATGGGGCAGCCTGGATAGGCATTTGGGCCCCATGGGTTGGGGTCCTCAGGGGGCTGTCCGGGGACCAGGGGCAGGCTGACATCCCTTGGTGCATTGGGCAAGCAGCAGTGATGACCCCCAGAAGTACATGGCCTACCGCGTCCATTATCCCACCATCGTACAGCTGGCCAGCTACCAGCGAGCGGCTGGCACTGTGCAGGCACCATCCAGTGCTTCCTGTCCCTCGTCCCCAAATAAAGAGCATGTTAGCTTTCTTTCTTTCTTTTTTTTTTTTTTTTTTGAGTTGGAGTCTCGCTCTGTTGCCCAGGCTGGAGTGCAGTGGCGCAACCTTGGCTCCCTGCAAGCTCCGCCTCCCGGGTTCACGCCATTCTCCTGCCTCAGCCTCCCGAGTAGCTGGGACTACAGGCTCCCGCCACCACACCCAGCTAATTTTTTGTGTTTTTTAGTAGAGACGGGGTTTCACCATGTTAGCCAGGATGGTCTCTGTCTCCTGAACTTGTGATCCGCCTGCCTCGGCCTCCCAAAGTGCTGGGATTACAGGCGTGAGCCACCATGCCTGGCAAAGGGCGTGTTAGCTTTCTGCATGGGACGTGTGTGCCAGGTGCAGCCTCTAGTTGCCATCCGTCTGGGTTGGCATCTCAGTCCCCTTGTGCCCCACTCTGCCCATGGACTCAACATCCCAACTGTGGAAGACACAGGGTCAGAGCCAAGGACAAGGAGTCCCTGTGCCTCAGAGAACAGGACAAGCCCTGGTAGGGACTGGGGCTCCACAGCGCAGCCCAGCTGGACCGTGTGTCTAGCCCAGAGCCGGGCCATCCAGCTCCCTCTCCCTGCTCCCTCACCAGTGCTGGCTTCTCTGTCCCTTCACCAGAGTCTTGAGGCCTTGAGACATACTTTGGGACCACTGCATCACTCACTCCACTTCCTCTCCCTGCACCTCCAGGTCCCCCGCTTCAGCTCACAATACCCCTCAGGACAGGGCACTCACCCCATCCAAAGCTCCTCCCACTGCTGGATGTACCTGCTGGGGCGACCCCCCAGACAGGGCCTTGCCCAGACAGTGCCCCCTTTAGCAGCCCCTTTCTGTCCCCAATGTCAGTGCCCACCCCCCGCCCAGTTCTCAGTGCCCAGGATCCCCGAGGCTCAGATGGGCAGATCAGCAGGGGCACGTGGAGCTCCCACAGCACTCCGCAGGACGGGACCCACCCAGAAAGCATGTGGGTGGGGGGCCCTTTTCCAGGACCCAGGCCCACAGGGCTCTTGTCCCAGCCTGGAGGGGATGGGCGGGTAACAGGTACCAGCCCCTCTACCCATGTGGACACCCAGCTGGGCATGTACTCCCACAGGGCAGGGCGTGGGCAGGTAGCACCCAAGCTCTCTGATCTCTTACAAGGACACAAATCCTATTGGATCAGGGCCCACCCTTATGACCTCACTTAACCTTTACCATCTCCTTATAGGCCTTGTCTGCAAATACAGTCAGGTTGGGCATTAGAACTTCAGCATCTAATATTGGGGGTGGGGAGCGGGACACAATTCAGTCCTTAGCCCTCTCCTTCCTCAGGACTCCAGCCACATCATGCACAGAACTATGGCCTGTATCCCATGGTGCTCCTCAGTACAGTCTGGGATACATTCTCAGAAATGAATCATTAGGTGATTTCATTGTTGTGAGAAGATCATAGGGTGTATGTAGACAAACCTAGACGGTGTAGCCTACTGCACACCCAGATCACGTGGTACAGCATATTGTCCCTCAGCTACAGACCATATAGCAAGTATTTGTGCATCTAAACACAGAAAAGCTACAGTAAAAATATGACATTATAATCATATGGGACCACTGTTGTATATGCAGTCTGTCATTGACCAAAACATCATTATATGCCGCATGACTATAATATTTATTTTTCTGATTACAAAAGTAACACATAATCCCGGTAGAAAGTAAATCTTACTAGTACCAATCCTCCATAATTGGGGATACTTCAAATTTTCATTATTATAAATAGCACTTCAATCAACACGTTTAGCCATCAGTCTCTTTTTGCATTTCTAGTTATTTCTCTGGAGCTGATGAGTCAAATGATTGGATCAAAGGACATGTGCAGTTGTGGACTCTTGCTGCATGATAAATTGCCTTCCAAAAGGTTGTGCCAGTTAGCATTCCCACAAGTAGAGTTTGGGAATGCCAGTTGCACACCTCCTTATATTTTAATAGTTTCCTGAGGTCACCAGAACATGAACATCTGGAGGACAGCAGCTTGCTTGGGCATCACGGACCCCATGTCCAGCTCAATGTACAGCACATAGTAGGGAATTGCGTTACATGAACGAAGATGTTTTTGATTAACTTTCTGGAAACAGTCTTAAAATTAGAGAAAAGTTCTAAGTTTTACACAAAGAACATTTTCCCCCAGAAACATTTGAGAGTAAATCACCCCAGATTACTTTGGTGAGTGTTGCTACGGGTCAGAACATTCTAACTACAATGCAACTTTCATAATCAGAAAGTTAATATGAATACATTGTTAGGTAATACATTCTGTTATGTAACCCTCAGATTCTTTTTAAGTTTTATTACTTGTCTGTAATGTCCTTTACAGCAAAAGGATCTCATTCAAATTCATGGATTGCATTTAGTTGTCATGTCTCTTAGACTCCTTCAGTCTGGAACAGCTCCTCAGTCTTTCCTTGACCTTCATGACCTTTACTCTTTTGAAAAGCAAAGTCCAGTAATGTAGAAATTTCCTCAGTTGGGTTTCTCTGATGTTTCTTTTAGTATTAGACTTGGACCATACATTTTTTGATGAGTATCCTGTGATCTCATTGCATCTTACCATGGGACCTACAATTTTGATTTGTTTTGTTATTGGTGATGTTAGCCTTGATCACCAATGGTGGCATATGCTGGGTTTCTCCTCTGTCATGTTATTTTTTCACCTTGTAATTAATTTGTATTTTGTGAGGAGGAAATTTGAGACTATGGAAATACATCTGTTCCTCATTAGACTTTCAATTTACTCATTTACTGGTATCAACATGGATTCATGGCTTATTTCATTCAGTGGGTTATAATTTGTTAATATTTTTTAAATCAGCTTTTCTTTTTAGAAATGCTTTATTTTTACAATTTCAGATTTAGAGAAAAAAATTATAAGAATTGTACAAAAAATTCTTGGATGTAATTCCTCAGATATTAACACTTTACCACATTTGCTTTATTCATTCTCCTCCTTTTCTCTTTCTAGATAAATACAAATATATATATATAATGAATTTTTTGTGAACATTTTGTAAGTTTTGAACCTGATGCCTCTGTAAATATTTCAGTGTGTGCTTCCTAAAAATAATTATCTTACATTATTATGGTATGATTCACAAATGAGGAAATTCAAGTTTGTCTAATATTAATATCTAATCTACAGACCTTATTCAGATTGTGCCAGCTGTCTCCCTAATATCCTTTGTAGCCAAAGAAAATCAAAGATGGGGATTCACAGTCCATGATGTTTTGTGTCCAGTTATCCTGTTTCTTTAGTCTCTTAATCTGAGATAGTTTCTCAGTCTTTTTGGTTTTCATGGCATTTATGTTTATTTTTGTTCTGTTTTGTTTGGTTTGGTTTTTTTGAGACGGAGCCTCATTGCTGAACGTGAAAATACATTGCTCATCTGATATGTGTATATACATGTATGTTGTAAATACTTTGCAAGTATGTTGTGTTTTGTTGATTTTTTTTCTTATATATGGGGTGTTTTAATTTTTATTTTGCTAAACCAACCTTCAAAATGTTTGCTCGTGAAGTCCTTAGGAAGGTCTTTGTCAACGTGAAAATGTATCTGTATGCCAGGCGCGGTGGCTCATGCCTGTAATCCCAGCACTTTGGGAGGCTGAGGCGGGTGGATCAGGAGTTCGAGATCAGCCTGACCAACATGGTGAAACCCCGTTTCTACTAAAAATACAAAAATTAGCTGGGCATGGTGGTGCATGCCTGTAATCCTAGCTACTTGGGAGGCTGAGGCAAGAGGATTGCTTGAACCTGGGAGGCGGAGGTTACAGTGAGCCAAGATCGCGCCACTGCACTCTAGCCTGGGTGACAGGGCGAGACTCTCTTTCTCAAAAAAAAAAAAAAAAGTATCTGTATAAATAGGCATTTGTGTTTTCTTCTGGTAGTTTTCTCATTTTGTATATTTAAAATTTTTAATCTATATTCCACCAGGAACCTATTTTTGTGACATAAAAATCAGCTAGTTTTCTCCAAACAGCAGGCATTCCATTTATGAATAATTCATCTTTTTCTACTAATATGAAATGTCACCATTATCAAGTTCTAAATTATTTCATATATATGGGTGTTTCTGGATTTTCTAGTCTGTTCCATTCATTTATGTCTTTCAGCTGTTAGTAAATGACTTATAGAAATTAATGGCACATTTTGATATCGAGGAAGGCAAGTCATTTTTCGTTGCATTACAAAAAAATTTTAATGTCATCATAACAGTAAAAGACAGCAAGTGTAATTTTTAAACGTTAAAACTTTGGTGTTTTTATTTGGTTTAGGCAAAATTGATAAATACAGAAAGAGCTCACATCTTGAGAAAATTCTTTCTATTCAAGAACATGAACCATCTTCCCACTTTCCTTCTAAGGTTCCTCAGTAAAGTATATATTTACATAGGGGTACGTGGATAGAAAATGGATATTGGATTTTATCTAAAGAATTTTTAGCCCAGAAGTTGATACATTATGGGAACTATTTCTCTCATTATACACTTTTCTATAATGTGAATAACATGTTTAAAAGTGTATACCTTAAAAATATTATATAGACAATTCTGTGAGTTAAATCACTTTAAAATTGTCTCTAAAGTGCACTATAGGGAGATTATGGGTGCACTGGAAACCAGCTAAAGTGTTGTTTTCATTTTGCTGCTCATAGAGAGACCCAGGCCTTGACTCCTCTGAGGCTTCCACATCCCAGGTGCTGCGGGCCCTGCTTAGCTGTATTCCTAGGTATTTTATGTTCTGTGTGTGTGGCTATTATGAATGTGATTGTGTTCTAGATTTGGCACTCAGCTTGAACACTATTGGTGTATAGAAATGCTTATTATTTTTGTAAATTGATTTTATATCCAAAAACCCTGCTGAAGTTGTTTATCATACCTAGGAGCTTTTGGGGAGATACTATGGAGTTTTCTAGGTATAAAATCATATCATCTGCAAACAGAGATAAATTTGACTTCATCTCTTCTTATTTTAGGATACCTTTTGTTCCTTTCTCTTGCCTGATTGCTCTGGCTAGGACTTCCGGTAGTATATTGAATAGGAGTGGTGAGAATGGGCATCCTTGTCTTGCTCCAGTTCTCAAGGGGAATGCTTCCAGCTTTTGCCTGTTCAGTATGATGTTGACTGTGGGTTTGTCATAGATTGCTGTTATGATTTTGAGTTATGTTCCTTTAATGCCAGTTTGTTGGCGGTTTTTAACATGAAGGGATGCTGAATTTTATCAAAATCCTTTTCTACCTCTATTGAGATGATCATGTGGTTTTTATTTTTTGTTCTGTTTAGATGGATGAATTACATTTATTGATTTGCATATATTGAACCAAACTTGTATCCCAGGGATAAAGCCTACTTTATCATGGTGAATGAGCTTTCTGATGCGTTGCTGGATTCAGTTGGCTAGTATTTTGTTGAGGATGTTTGCATCTATGTTTATCAAGGATATTGGCCTGAACTTTTCTTTTTTATTGTGTCTCTGCCAGGTTTGGGCATCAAGATGGCACTGGTCTCATAGAGTGAGTTAGGGAGGAGCCCCTTCTCCTCAATTTTTGGAATAGTTTCAGTAGGAATGGTACCAGCTCTTCCTTATATGTTTGGTAGAATTCAATTGTGAATCAATCTGGTCCTGGGCTTTTGGTAGGCTTTTTATTATTGATCCCATTTAA